>NC_000005.10:92534049-92837079 GCF_000001405.40 Homo sapiens
AACAATGGGCAAATAAGTTCCTCCTAGAAAGCACAATTAGAGCCTTCACAATGCTGGTCCAGTGATGGCTTCAAATTACTCTATTTCAATTACTCTTCAGTTTACTCCCTTATGTTCAGAAGCATTTAGTATAATGATCCTGTCCCCATTCCACCACTATATACTTGGTGTGGTGATATGTATCTTTTTTTATAGTGTCAAACACTGGCACAAAAGAGGTATCTTGGACTTTGAACTTAATGCAACGCCTGGATGACATGTTAGGCAGTTTATTTTGTGTGAGTATATAATTGGGAGGGCAGAGAGAGATGCATATTTGGTTACCAAAGTGCAGATAGTAGGAGACACTGGCTGAATGCTTACCACTCCCATTTACTGTTCTTGAGTATACAGGAAGGCTACATTTCCCAGTCTTCCTTACTTTTGTAAGGTACTATGTCTCTTCTTGCAGCAAACAATGCTACTTATAAGATGGAAAACAAGGGAAAAAAGTATCTTGAATGGCAGCTAATATAATACTGTAGGATATCAAGCCAATCTCTGAACAAAATATTATATCTTAATAAGATAAACTGGGTATCTAAATTGAAAAATTAATATTCAAAAATTAGAATCATCTTATGTACTGATTAAAACCAACTACAAAATGTTACAAAGAAATGATCCTATTTACCACTACAACAAAAGCCATGACAAAGTTAGGATTAAATCCAATAAAAATGTGTGAGAACTTTATGGATAAAATTATATAATATAATATGGTGACATAAGACAGTATCCCAAATAAGTTTCAACAGACAGTATTTTCATACAACCTAAGACTCAATAAGATACCAAGTTTCTATGAAATGATCAATACGTTTAGTGCAATTACAATAATCATTTATAGAAACCTGACAAATTCCATAAATGCCCAAGAAAGAGCAAAGGACCAAGAACAGGCAAGAAAATTTCATAGGAAAATGAAGTGGGAATACTTAGTCATCCAAATATCCAAATTATTGTAAAACATTAGTACTTAAACACTGTAATATTTTCAGAGAAAAGGCAAATATAAGAGACTTGAGAGTGCCGAAATATACCATATGGTATAGAAATTGTATCAGAGATGTTACCAACCTAAAGAGATTACAGTGAACAATTTAATAACTAGGGGTAAAAAATTGATTATGCATATAAAAATTTAATCAAAACCTATAACATAAAAAGATAACATGTAAAGAAATAAATTTATAAATAAAAATTTACGAATCTTAAAAGAAAATTTAAGAAAATGTCTCTATGGCCTTTGAATAAGAAAGGATTTCTTAGAAATGCTGAAAACAAAGCCAGAAATGGGAAAGTGATAATTTATAAAAACGACTACATTGAAATTAAAACAACCTCCAGTAAAAGAGACAAAGTAAAAAACTAGCCACAGTGGTAAAGGATATTTGCAAGGGAAAAGTTTGACATTGGCTTGGCATTCAGATTTTATATAGAACGCCTAATAATTAGGAAGAAATATTTTAAACACCTAATAGAAAATTATGTAAAGGTTTAGAATGAACAATGGAAAATGAAAATATAAAAAGATCCTCAATTTCATCTAGATCAGGAAAATGTATATTAAAACCAGAATAAAATATTTCTTGTCTGTCAAATTTCTCTAAATTATAATAGTGACTATAACAAATATGAGTGAGCATCATGGATAAAGAGGCTTATACTCTACTGGTAGACATGTAAATTGCTATTATCATTTTGGAGAAAACTTTGGTAATATGTCTATGTCCTATAAAATCACAATTCCAAATCCAATTATGTATTCAAAGGAAACTCTTGTATAAGAAAACATAAAAGAATTATTATTACAGTAGTATTTGTAATAACAAAGAATTGTAAATATGTACCCCTGAAGTAAGATTATATCTAAAATGATATGCAAAATTTTATCAACTATTCAAAGAAGAAATAACTTTTGTATAAATGATTTTAAAATGCAAAAACACATAACAAGTTTTCTGGTTTATTCTTGAAGATATCACTTTTCTGTCACCAAAGAAAAAAAGTCACTAAAAATTGATCTAGACATTAATTTCACTTGTGAATATTATATAAAACACCAGTTAAAATACTAAGACATTTGACCCAATAGCATATAAGAAGAGAAACATAACCTGACCAATTTTGATTTAATCCTAAAAATGCAAGAATCTTCCAGCAGAAAAACTATTTCAATTTATTGAATAAGATCTACAAAATACCAATAAGTAAGACAATTAAGAACTACACAAGGGACTTCTACTTCTGAGAAAATACCTGGAACGAAACTCACCCTGGCATGCTAACCAATCACGACATTGGGGGGAAATGTATGAGGCAACCATTTCAGACATTAAACAGCAGGCAGGGCAGACTGCCATTCCTGAGAAAAGCATGACTCATGAAATGAGCTCCATGATTGTTCTGAATCTCTACAGCAAGATGGAGATCAAGCAAAGATCAGAGTGGGACGCTGACATGAGCTTACCATAGAATCGCTGCTACGGGATGAACACAGACCATAGAAGTTAGATAGTACTTACAGACATGAGAATTCCAGACCCAGCCAGAAAAGAAGAAATCATCTGACTCCCCAAAAAGGCTCTAAATTAGGAATAAGAACCACACTCATAGTAATATCACGTTACACTAGATTAGCCCTGACAAAGCCCAAATCTAAGCCTTAACAAAATCATCAAGGGAGAGAGAATTTGGAAGTAGAACTCCACCAAGAGAGGAACCTGGAAAAACATTGGGCTTTCTACAGATCCACACTAATTTGGATCTCTGTGCAAGATGTCAATCAGAAAACAAACAACAAAGCAAAACTCTTTGAAGACATCATCCCACGTATCACCCCAAAGGTTCAACATACAATCTGAAAGTATTCAACATCTAAGTAAATAGGAAAATGTAACCTCTAGTTAAAAAGTTTAACAGAAAGTAACCCAAGGTAGTTTAGATACTAGATTTCACAGATAATTACTTCGAAGCAGCTATTTCATACACACACGCACACACACACACACAGAGCTACGATAGATCGATAGATAGATAGATACATACATACATACATAGATATACACACAGTATATAAAGAAAAATATGGTATTAATGACTGAATAAATAAGGAATCTCCTCTGAGAAATCAAAACTATAAAAGAAAAACTAAAAATTCTAGAATGAATTAAAAAGTATAATAACTGAAGTGGAGGGGAAAACTTACTTGCTTTTCATAACAGAAGATTAGATATGGCAAAGAAAATAGGATCAGTGAATTCAAAGGCAGAGCTATACAATTATACAATTTTGATTATAGAGGCTTTATAGCATGTTTTAATATATTGTAAGACAGTCTGTCTCACAGCTTCAATTGGATAGTGTTTTCCTAGATAGTCTTACAAGTTTATTTTCCATGTGAATTTTAATATCCTGACTAGCTAAAAAAACTTGATGTTTATAGTAAGATTGAATAAAGATTATAAATTAACTTTAAGATACAGACACACACACCCACAAATTTCCCACGATGAATCTTTGGAACAATATTTCCTGAGTTCATGCATGCTTAAAAATGATTGTCTGTCTAAAATCTTGTTCATAGAGGGACAGCTTGAATAAAAATAAAATTCTTAGTTGACACTGATTTTTTGTTTCTTTCCTTCCCACTCTCCCCTTCCTCCTCTGCTTTCTCTTCTTCCTCCTCCTTCTCCTCTGCTTCCTCTATACTGATTTATCCTTATTTTGATTTGTGTTTCAATGCTGATTCATTTTTATATTGATTTGTATGCTGCTTTTGAATAGAATGGTGCTGCCAGTCTGATTTTTGGTCCTTGTAAATTATTTGCTTCTTTGTATGGAGGCCCTGAGGATTTTCTACTTCATCTTTAAAATCTAAAAAATGTACTAGAGTGTAGCCCAGAATTGATAACTGTGTGACTGTGTTCTCAGGAAATATCTGGGCCTTTTCAATATGTAATGTCCTATCTTTAATTCCCTGAAAGTTTTCTTGGATTATGGTTTAAATATTAAATTAGTTACTTTTTTTTTCTTCTTTAGGGTCTTCCTTTCATTTTGGTGCCTTCTTTATTCTTCATCTCATTGTCATTCTATCTGTTGTTTCTCCTCTTTTCCTCTAAGCATCTTACTAACTTCTTGTTTGTATTTCTTCATCCTTGGGCCCCATGTAATTTAGCTTTCATTTCCTATATTATTTTTCTGTTTTTTTTTCTCCCGAGTCCATTAATAATATTTTATTTCTTTCAGTTTTGTTGTTGTTGTTTTGGATTTTTTTTTCTCTTCTTAGTATTTGAATTTCTGAATCAAGGTGTTTTATTTTTTTCTGTAACCCAAATCATGCTTGCTGGATTAGAAACTTTAATTATTTACAACATTGGTTCTTACCTGTAGAGAATGTCACACCAACTTCATCAAGTACCCAGCTGCCTTAGCATTGAGCAGCAGAAGCAGTAACTCCTAGGTTATGAATATTCTCTGACAACATTAATTAGACCCATGAGGATGGAAGCCCTATGTGCACAACTTTCAGAACAAAGCTAAAGCTAAAGAAAATCTCCATTCATGTCTAAGAGAATCTCCATTCATGAACTAAGTTGTATCCTCCCCACATTCATGTTTCATCCCTAATCCCCAATGTGTCTATATTTGGATATAGGGCTTTTAGGAGGTAATTAAGGTTAAATGCAATCATAGGAGTGGGATCCTAGTTCAATAGGCTCAGCGGTCTTATAAGAAGAGGAATTAAATGCAGTCATAAGGATGGGATCTTAATTCAATAGGCTTAGTGGTCTTATAAGAAGAGAAAGAGTGCTCTGTGTGTGTGTGCGCGTGTGTGTGTGTCTGTGTGTATATTCATTTAAGCATACAGCAAGCCAAGAAGAGGGCCTTCACCAGGAACCAAACTGGATGGTACCTTGATCTTGGACTTTTCAGCCTCCAGATCTATGAGAAACAAATTTCTGGTGTTTAAGCCACCCAGCCTACAGTATTTTGTTATGGCAGTCAAAGCTGACTAATGCAATGGCCTCATTGAATCAAATTAACCATTCTGGAATATCCTGATCCAGGTGTATAGTAGATATCTCCTTTACATATAGTTCTGTCTCTCTCCTAGAGAATAATCCCCTAGATTATGAACATTGTTTCATTTGGATCACTCAGCATATGCCTTTTATTAATTATAAGAAATTCATATTGATAGTAACAAATCAAATGCAATTCAAAAGAGAATGAATACAAACTTGATTCTTCTTTACTATCCCTTTCCTCCATGCCACCCTCTTGAGACACTGAAAGAAACTGAACTTTTCTATTATTGAAAGGAACTGAATCTGTAAATCAATTTCTTCACTTTCCCTTTTCTTATTTTAACTGTTTGGATTATTTCTCTCTTACTGAACATTTGTTCACATTCAAAATTATTGGCTAGAGTTCTATGCACAACAATTGTATAAAATATTCTCCTCAGTTCAGCATACCACTAGGATGAATTTCACTTAAATCATTTAAAACATTTTAAAACCATTTTTTCAATGGACTTTAATATTAAAAATTTCCTGGGCTGAGAAATGTTCACTTATTCTAGCCCTGTTTTAACTCTTTGCATCTGTTCTGCACTGTCATAAATAACCAATAATTTTTCAATTTAATGACATCGGTTTTGATCCAGTTCTCAAAACTGTATTTGTACATGGTTTTATAAAATGTCTGCTAGCAAAAGTTTCCTTTACTTTAAACAAAAGAAGTCAAAAATAAAATAAATGTTGATCATCATATATTTTAGCATACAAATTAAACTTCAGAAAAAATGGTAAACAAATATAATTTTATTTGGAACTGGTTTTGTTAAATTCTTGATTGATACAAATTTTAATTTTGAAATGTCATTTGAAACCATATGCTTTTGTATCTTAGAAATGAAATATACTTTCAAAAGTCCTTTGTCTAGCCCTCTGCCTTAAAACTGATAAAAATGTTACCATCAAAGCAACTTAAATAAAGTGAATTGATTTGCTCTAACTAACAAGTATTTAAAAAGCCAGGTTTTCTAACTTCACATACCACATGTTGTAGCAATGCCTCATAATTGTAACTGTCATTGGATACCAACAAATTCTATTCACATTCAGTCCTAAAATCCAATATTTACAGAAAACCAGCCCTTTACTAACGTCACCTTATGCTTCGAACTAAACAATCCTGTTAAAACGGTTATTGTGACAGTAGACTATTTATTATTTATTAATAAAAATAAATTTATATTCTTTCTGAAAAGACTATATTTATAAAATTTATTAGAATTTATAAAATTATATACACTATACATGTATGTGGATATAACACTCACACATGCTGAGCTTCAATGAATGTATGTGATGTGTTGGAAAATCAATACAATCAATTGATTGTATCAATTTAAACTGGTAAATGTATTGCCTTATCTAAGTGTTCTTGTCCTAAAGATCACATAAATTAACACTATTTATCCTTAGTGGACTTGGTGTCTAAGGGCTACAATTAGTGACTCACATAGTCTTTATATCTAGGTCATTAGTTCAAATCCAGTTTAGAATGTTACTTCTTGAATTGAGTGATTTTGAAAGTTATCCAATGTTCTGTTACAAATCACAAATATGGTGCTTTAATTTCATTTTAAGCTACATTTTCACAAAAATAGTACATTATTTTTCTTCTAATTATCTTTACCAGTTTCTGCATTTCTCAAATAAATAGCTAAACAGAAAATAAAAACGTAACCAATACACTTATTCTACAGTAATAAAGATTTGCAATTTTTTCCTTTAAAAAAGATTCTCTGACAGGCAGGGCTAAGTGGCTCATGCCTGTAATCCCAGCAGTTTGGGAGGCCAAGGCGGGCAGATCACCTGAAGTCAGGAGTTTGAGACCAGCCTGGCCAACATGGTGAAACCCCGTCTCTACTAAAAATACAAAAATTAGTTGGGCATGGTGGTGCAGGCCTGTAATCTCAGCTACTCAGGAACCTGAGGCAGAAGAATCGCTTGAATATGGGAGGCGGAGGCTGCAGTGAGCTGAGATTGCACCACTGTATTCCAGCCTGGCTGACAGAGTGAGACCCTGTCTCAAAAATTAAAAAAAAAAATAATAATTCTATGACAGAAGACTGCCGATCAACAACTTTTATTTTCTAGATTGGTGGCAGGAACGCAAGCATGGCAGAGGAGGGCTGATTGATGGATGGTTCATTCAAAGTGGGAGGAGCTACCTATTGGGTACTATGTTTATCACCTAGGTGACAAAATAATATATATACCAAACCCCTGAGACACACAATTTACCTGTATATCAAACCTGCACATTCCCGAGCCAAAAATAAAAGTTAAAAAAACCCACAATAAACAAAGTCAGAGGAACTATTTTCATGAGAAGTTTTCTGAGACACCAGGTATATGAAAAGAAGCTTTGGCGAGAGGTAACAAAAATGTGGCTGAATTCATGAGAGAATAATTCTCCATTCTCTCATACAGAGCATAACTTCTGTACCTTAAAAAAAATTGGTTTTCTTCCCCCCTTTTACATGTAGGGAATGGGCTTGAAATGGAAAGACCAGGGCAGCACATGCAAAGTCAAAGGCACTAAAGGATGATCCCAATAAGAAAACTGAAAAATGCCCAGCACTATATTTAGAAAAATTGAGGCTCAAAGTCATTTATGCAGCCAACAGACATATGAAAAAAATGCTCATCATCATTGCTCATCAGAGAAATGCAAATCAAAACCGCAATGAGATACCATCTCATGCCACTTAGAATGAGGATCATTAAAAAGTCAGGAAACAACAGATGCTGGAGAGGATGTGGAGAAATGGGAACACTTTTACAGTGTTGGTGGGAGTGTAAATTAGTTCAACCATCGTGGAAAACAGTATGGTGTTTCCTCAAGGATCTAGAACTAAAAATACTATTTGACCCAGTGATCCCATTACTGGGCATATACTCAATGGATTATAAATCATGCTACTATAAAGACACATGCACATGTATGTTTATTGTGGCACTATTCACAATAGCAAATACTTGGAACTAACCCAAATGTCCAACAATGATAGACTGGATTAAGAAAATGTGGCACATATACACCATGGAATACTATGCAGCCATAAACAAGGATGCATTCATGTCCTTTCCAGGGACATGGATGAAGCTGAAAGCCATCATTCTAAGCAAACTATCACAAGGACAGAAAACCAAATGCTGCATGTTCTCACTCATAGGTGGGAGTTGAACAATGAGAACACATGGACACAGGGCGGGGAATATCACACACCAGGGCCTGTTGGGGTTGGGGGGCTAGGGGAGGGATAGCATTAGGAGAAATACGTAACGTAAATGATGAGTTGATGGATGCAGAAAACCAACATGGCACATGTATACTTATGTAACAAACCTGCACATTGTGCACATGTACCCTAGAACTTAAAGTATAATTTAAAAAAAGAAAAATTGATTCTCAGTGCAAAGCTAATAACTAATGATGGAATGAACAGATGTTCACCAAGTGGCCAAAGTTCTCATTTTAGGGTGAGAGAGCCAACTGATAAGAGATATCATTAATACGTACAAATTCACTGGTATTCCCAACTCAACAATGGTATAAGAAATGCCTGGTTTTTTTGTTTGTTTGTTTGTTTGTTTGTTTTTTGAGATGAAGTCTTGCTCTTATCACCCAGGCTGGAGTGCAATGGTGCAAACTCAGCTCACTGCAACCTCCGCCTCCCAGGTTCAAGTGATTTTCCTGCCTCAGCCTCCTGAGTAACTGGAATTACAGGTGCCTGCCACCATGGCCGGCTAATTTTTTTGCATGTTTAGTAGAGATGGAGTTTCACCATGTTGGCCAGGCTGGTCTCAAACTCCTGATCTCAGGCGATCTGCCCACCTTGGCCTCCCAAAGTGCTGGGATTATAGGCGTGAGCCACCGTGCCCGGCCGCCTGTTCGGTTTTATAACAGAAATTTAGACCAATCAGTTGGGAAAGAAAGGGAATTACTTATCAAGTTAATTTTTCTGGAAAACATATATACATTAAAAATAGAATAAATATGGCCAAACTTGAACATTAAGGCCATAAACTCAGAATTTCTATTAGTAACACAGCAAGAATGAGATTCTCATCCTGTGTCTCCTTGTGAGCAAAAAAGCATCTGGTTTTGTTTTTCTGATTTTAATTTGCTTGGCAATCTGGTAAACTTGTTTTATGTTTATAAATTAGATCCAATCTAAAAGTATATGTGAGATTGGAATTCAGCAGGCCTCAAATCATTGCAGGTTTTATACATATAAGGCTTGCTATGTACTGTAGAAACTTGTTGCTTAAACTTTCTTTTTAAAATTGTTTCTCTTTACATACTAGGAAGTGTTTGAACAGCTTGAGACCTATTGGCCTGGAACTATTTTCCTATGATCTAAGCACTTGACTTAGAGTTTAAGTATTTCAGTAGGTTCAGAGCTAAACATCTTTTTAAAAATATCTGATTTTTAACCCCCATTTCTTTTTAAGCTGATCATATAATAAGGATTTTAAGGATCTATTTGTTTTTCAAAGACAATGATTTTTCTAAGTGGCACTCTAAATTTACATTGGCATTTCAACCAACACTCTAGTAAATCTACAAGCTATAATTAAAAGCAATGCCGCAACTTTATAGTGCTAGTGAAAGTCTTACTTCTTTAAGTTACAAGTAAAAGATATTAACTTCTGCCTACAAAGTAATTATTTTAAAGAAAAATAAGTGAAATAAGTGCAAGTTAAAAAGTTTGTTTAAGACTCTTAATGTAAGAATTCAAACTCTCATCTCTGCCTCACAGAGTGGAATTGTCATAAATGAAAATATCTTTTTATTCTACTTAGAAGCATCTTTTTAAAGTGCATATGATGAGCAAAGTGTGTGAAGATATAAATATATATTTAAAGTGTAATGGTGTACAACAATCACTATAACAGTAAGTAAAGCAATGCCATAAAAATGGAGAACACATTCTTCAACACATTGAGAAAGTTATTTTCAAAGCCTGGCCCATTAGGTTGGAACCAGAAGTTTCCAGATATATGCCCACATTTGCATGAAACTAAATATTTTACATTCCAGTGACGGATTGGTACATACTTGAGAATGGATGGTTGTACTGGCTCTGAAAGAAACAGGAAAAAAATGACCTTCTAAATTATGTGAAGTCAAGTAGCTTGGAGAATAGAAAGCAGATCTCTACTGAGGAGACATCTAGTTAATCTGCGTTCTCACCAGAGATCTACTGATCCAGGGCCCCGCTGGAATACTGGAGCAAATTCATGCAGCTGGTCTGAAGTCAGATTTTTGCCAACTCTGTCCTCTCTTATGATATGCTGTCACTGTTGGAATCATGGCATGTCTAGATTGAAGCTGAGCATAAAGTCCAAAAACTTTTTTTGGGCAGAAGTGGCTATATTTCTCTTGCAAGCTGCAAAAATCTATTTCACTTTTAGCGTTACTTTTCTACTGGTGCAATAACTACTTTGGAAATTTTTATTACTCATTGATTAAAATTAAGGTACTAGAGGGAATGAAAACAGTTATTTTGCTTAAGTTGCCTGGACTCAGACTATTGTGCAAGCATTCATTTTCTGTGGTATTTTGTTTCACAGAAAGATCAGTAGGTGAGCTTGAACAGAGTCAGCAAACTTTTCCTGCAAAGGATCAGACGGTAAATATTTTAGGCTTGGTGGGCCATATGGACTTTGTCACAGCTACTCAACTCTGTCTTGTCATGAGAAAGCAGACATAGACTATACATAAACAAATGAGTATCTATAGACAATAAAATTTGAATTTTTTGCATGTCACATAATATTCTTTTTATCAACCACATAAAATACAATGATTCTTAGCTTGTAGGCTGTATAAAAACAGACGGCAGGCTGGATTTGGCCCATGGACTAGAGTTTGCCCACCCATGAATAGAATACAATCACATACAGTGATGAAAAATAAGAAAACGTATCTCTTAACATAAACTTTTATGCTTCTTATTAGATATTTAGTTCCACTTGGATTTGTTTTTCCTAATTATCTCTTAAAATGTGTCATAATTCTTAGATCAAAAGAATCCTAACTCACTGAAGCAGTTGGTGTTGAGTTGCAATTCAAAAATTCCAAACTCACTTGAAAGATTCAAGTTCTAACTACTAAGCGAACCCATTATATGAAATGAAAGCTTTATTACGTTATGTATTTGACATGCAAAAAATACTATTCATGTCCTTTGTTTTAAATATGAAATGAACACGTTTACTAAGATTGCCCTGAATTTGGAAGAAACCCTGGTCCCTTAGCCATCAATGGATGGCATAATTTTACTGAGTTGAATATTTCATTATGTAACCATGGTCTCACTGTTTAAGGTTTTCCATCAAGCCTTCTACACTGTCTCTCATATAAGCGATTATTTGCCGCTCTGCATTTACATTTGATATTCTTTCTGTATTAGTTCTGATTCCTGAGACACTATTGGAAGTATTAGAAATTATAGCCCTTGCTGGAAACAAAGAGAGGAGATGGTGTTAGGCCAGCAAAGCCAGGAAGCTTTCTATATGACGTTTGCTGAATAAATCAAATGTAAGTTCTCAGCAACTGTATTCTTGTTCTAAGTGTTTCTAGTAATAGAACTATTTCCAGCTAAACCCTCGTTAAGAGAGAGAGAGAGACAGAGAGATCAGTCAAGTAATTTACAAAGTGATCAGCAGTTTTTACTGTTTTTAACATGCCTTGCAAGCCAAAAGCAAGGTGCACCACCACCTATCAAAGCCTAGATAAGCACAGGTTTCCTGTCAGTTTCCCTTTTTGTCAGTTCTTGGCATATGTTACATGCTCAAGAACTATTCTATAAACAAACTTGTTTATCAGACTCAGTAATTAGGAGTTAAGATAAACAACTACATAATTTTCAAAACTCATTGAAAAGTAAAAACATAGGGTGTATAGTTCAAAGAGCAGGAAAGAGTACCATTAAAGGTACTAAGGCACGAAACTTCTTTTCTTTCAGAATTTATTTTTTCTCAACTTCTCTGTGCTGTTTGTCATGCTCCCATGGAATGGGATAGTTAGGGGGCGAGTGCAGATTACAGCCTCTCAGGGGTCCATACTGTTAGTGGCATTAGTTGCTGGATTGACACACTGTGTTGCTGGCAAGGGAGGGAAAGTCAATACCCCCTTCCCATGGGCCTGCTAGCAGAATCTGCAGCAGGTGAGATCCCTGAAGGATTGCAACCTCCACATTTGAGATGCACTCAGCTCCTGGATCAGGGTGCCCAATGAACTTGCCATCCTGGGGAATAGGGTTGGCTGCCTCCAGGCCCCACCTAGATGCCACAGAGTACATGTGGCCAACACCATCCTGCCTCATCTCTGTGCCCAGGCCTTGCAGTGGGTGGAGGACAGCTTTGGAATGCTGGTTGGATGTCTGAGAATCTGTTCTGGGGAGGTGGGGAGGCTTCAGGGACTCCAAGTCTCTCAGCACTTTTTCCATTGTCCATTTGACTACCCTTACAAAAAACAAAAGATAAAATTATTAAGAATTTCTAAATAGTGACCCTAAGCATCAGGCCTTTGTGAGAATGGGGCCTTCTTGACTGCACTAGTGGCTAACATTTATTGAAGTTCTATCAGCAAACTCTTCTAATCAATTTACAGTATACCTAATTCTCACATATGAAAACATATTGTGCAGAGAGGAAACTAAGTCACAAACATAAAGTAATTTTTTCCAAGTTCATGAAATCAGTATGTGGTGATGCCAAGATTCTATTAATACTACAGGCAGTCTGACTCCCAGGCTCTTCATTCTAAACCAGCTCAACATCTCATATGGTATAATCGCTTTAATACCTGTCTTGTAGGGACATGGATGAAGCTGGAAACCTCATTCTGAGCAAACTATCGCAAGGACAGAAAACCAAACACCGCATGTTCTCACTCATCGGTGGGAAGTGAACAATGAGAACACTTGGACGCAGAGTGGGGAACATCACAAACCGGGGCCTGTCATAGGGTTGGGGGAGGGGGGAGGGATAGCATTAGGAGATATACCTAATGTAAATGACAAGTTAATGGGTGCAGCACACCAACATGGCACATGTATACATATGTAACAAACCTGCACGTTGTGCACATGTACCCTAGAACTTAAAGTATTAAAAAAAAAAAAAAAACTTGTCTGTGGTTTTATACTTGGACCTACTTCTCTGGAGACTTTTCTCTTCCCCAGCAATGTCCTTTTTATGACCCATTGAAATCACATTAAAACTTAACCTGACATTTGACAGCTTAGAGCATTAGAAAGTGCTCAATAAACCTTAGCTTTTATTATTCTCTTCGAATTCTGCTTCTTGTCTAGGTATTCTTTCAAATGCATGTGAAGTATTGTTTGAACTGGCAATGGCTTAATGTGTACTTTTATCAGCTGAATATCCTGAAAGAGGTACCAATATGTACATTTCAATCCCCAAAACAAAGATATTGAGAATGTTCTTAAGATGGCCAACCCTTTAAAAATCCTTCAGATCCTTTAATTCAGTAAGTTTTTTGTAGGACTGTCTATATATGGGTACCACATTTATACATCAGTGAATGAGTATCTATTTTATATATCAAATAGAATGCAATTCCAGAACCTAAACGCCTCTTGAATATGTAGTTTTTCAACTTTATGAGATAGATACCTGAATAACACCTATCTTGTGTAGACAAGAAACCAAGTCCCAAGTAAACTGCCATTTTCTCTTGGTCACAAAGTTACTATAAGGTAATGCCAGGATGCTAATGTGGGCAGTCTGACTACAGGGTCCTCACTCTAAAATGGCACAAGATCCCATATGGTAGAGTAGCTTTAATATCCATAATATTAAACATTTATTCAAATGAAATTAGAATTCCACATAAAATGCTTAAATATTCAAAAGTAAAACTTAAGTTTCTCCTGAATTTCTTTATTCACATCAGAATACAATATTAGAATATTATGAAATAATTAAGACAAGCATAAAATATTTATTGAATACCTACTAAGATCCAGGCCTGATACAGATACTTTACACACATCAGTGAAGAAAATAGACAGATTTATATTATTGAGCAGCATATACTACAGCAGATAATTAAAGTTTTCTTAATAGTATCTGCTCTATTTTGGACAACTTTTAAAGAATTTATTTATAATAAAGATGTATTATACAAGTATAATTGTTTTATTTAAATGTTTTGACATCCAATGTTGAGGCAAATTAGATTGTATCCCTGTTTTTATCACCCTCATAGTATCTTCTAGTGGTGCTTTTGTTACTCCTTTCTTCCATTCCCTCTTTATTCTTTCTGTCTTTTTTAAAAACAGCTGCAGACCATACACTTTATTATCAGCTAAGGGATACGTTAAGTGGCTGCCTGCCCAACCACAGCCAGTTTGTATCCATGATCACTTGGCTTAGCTATCCCTGAAGGAAGTTAAGTTGTATCCTAGGGAAATTAGACTGAAAATCATTTTTTTCCCCATTGCCAGCCATTCCTAGAAGTTCTATGATTAATACAAATTTCACTTCTAAAATTATTTTATTCACCCAGTCGCTTTGAAAGTTATATACAATGCAAAAAATAAGAATGTTATCTCTTTACTTACATTTTAACACCCTTACAAAATCCCCTATATTAAAAATAATATTTAACATTATAGAACAAAGTTAATATTTAAAGAAGCTGAGTTGTTCATTTTTGTTTCGTTTTGTGTTGTGGTATGGGGGAACTTATTATTTTAGAATGACTCAGTTAACCCTTAATAGTTTCTACAAAATGGAAGATCATCAACGCAAAAGAAAATACATTTGAATTTCAAGAAACACTTCTAAGCAGCCTATACAAGAAAGCAGTGGGCATCAATATGAGGGCATTTTAATTTTTTTTAGAATTGTTCAACTTTTTACATGTCACACAATTTGAGATAACGGGACAAATATGTCAAAGGGGTCAGTGTGTCATATTCAGAGGAGAACCTGCTTTGATATCTGACAGATTAGGTTTGAATTTTGACTCTGAAACTTTATAGCAGGGTGGTTTGAGGCTTTTGGAATAAACATTCTGAGCCTTCATTTCATTATAATAGAAGAGAGGGATCATGACATCCACATATACAAAGCACTTGGCATACAGAGGTATGTACTCTATGGTAGATATTAGTATTCATCATGAGAGAGCCAGATTTAAGAAAGACAAAAATCCTATAAAGACACCGAACTGTTCATTCCAAGAACATAGGTTTTGTGTGATTAAGGAATTTGACAGGGAGGAATACACAAAGATAACAGACTGAATCAAACCATACCAAGATCTCTGAATACATGTCAAGAAGTAAAACAAAATAGTTATCTTTTAAAAACCAGTTTTGGATCAGGTACTATTAGGGTCTTTTACGTATGTTCTTCCAGGTATTCCTCAAAATAAAACTGAATCTCATAGCGATTGATTGAATAGAGCCAGACAAGAGCACGTGGAAATCCCACTTGCCTTCGTGTGCACCTTGATGTGCAGCTACTGACACAGAAAAATAGGAAGTGCATTGTGGAAGAGTTAAAGGGGCGCAAAAAGTTTTATTCTGGGAAAAAATGCTAGTTACTAGAGTACAGTCTTAACTGACCAAGAAAAATGTATATTTTGTCACAATTTCCTTTATGTTTCCATTGGGACAAAGCTAGTCTAATATATGAGACTCTTGAATGGCCCTTATCTTTGATATAAGTGGAGAGTATTTGCAAAATGTAATTTCCTTGCAGCCCACTTCATTATATATACCTATTTTCATAACAAAGCCTGTGAAGAAAAATTGATGTTAAAATCAATGCATTCCTTGAATAATTGAGATTTTTAAAATGGATCTGTACAAAAAGCTATCCTTCAGAACAATGTCTCTCAAGTACTGTTTGCATGAATTTACACTGATTTTCCTTTGGAATTTATCTCACTTAAACTATTCATTTTTTTAATCATTCACAATATTTCAAAGCTACTTCTCTGTTTTTAAGCATTCTACTTTAATTTGAAAATAAAAAGAATGTAATAAAATTGAATGATTAAATTGCACTTCTGCTAAGCAGGATTATTTTCTTATATCTTATATCAGAATTTTATTAGGTAATTGTTTTTCATCAGTATGTTCTGCCTACATCCTAGTAGTTAGGAAAATTGGAAAAGCATTGCCAGATTTTCTTTGTACAGACGTAATCTTTACATTTCTTAAATTGTGCTTGACAATTTGAAGTGATGACAAAATTATACCTTTGGTTGTATATTTTTCTTATCATACTAATTTGAATCTAATAGAGGCAATATAGAATTTTTTCTTTTGTCATACATTATAATTTCTATAATTCTTTATAATATTGAAATTCTGTAGTTCAACTATTGCTTCCTAAAATACAACATATGCTCAAATCAAACAAGATTATTAATTTAAACACATAAATATTAGCTTTATTATTGTTCCGAACTTAGTTTCCTTTTGGGTTGTAAAATATAAGATGTGAAACTTATCTTTTAAAAATCAAGTGATCTTTGATTTTGCTACATCATCTACTCATGTGTTCTGGGCCTCAGTGGGGACCAGAAAGCTAAGGACTTAACATGTTTCTATGACAATTTTAGGAAGAAAAAATAGTATCATTTTACATCTCCACCTTCTCTTCATCAGAAAACAGACCTTGAGAATTATTGTAGATAGTCTTACACCATAAAGATAAATGCAATTTTGAGGAACACGTAACATGATTGCTAAGCAGTTGTGTGCATATATGTGTGTATATATATATATCCAATTTTGCACATTTAGTAATAGAATAACATATTTTTAAAATGAGGTCTGCCCTCAGTAATAAACTTTCTTATTTGTTAACAAATACTTTTAAGAATTCTCTAGAGAATTCTTGGATTGAGCCATAGTTACCAGAAGAATACTTCTGACAAAGACACTTAAGCAGATATAAGAGAGCGCAAAGGGAAGGCAGAGAGATGTTTCAACGCTGTCATTTTAAAACTTCAAAAAGCATCTCCACATCAGAAGCGACTTCACAGATCCCGAGTCTCTACATTTCTGAGATATTGTTTGGTTTCATTTTTTTTTCTCTCCAGGTTCCAGGTTCCATAATCTTTTTAAGAGGTATAGGATTTGGGAAACATAGTATGGAGCATGAAATTTCTCTCTCTCTCTCTGTTTCTCTCTCTCTATATATATATGTATATATAAATATATACATATATATTTTTAAATTATCAGATTAGTGATTAAGACAGATATTAGAAGAGAAACAACAAAACTGTTATTTTTCTTTCACCATTCATAGAATTACTGGTACTTCTATATTAAGAAACAAAATAAAAGCAATCATTTAAACATAAGAAGTAGTATGATAGATATATTTTTGATAAAAATCAAGTAAATATTTGTCTCTAAATTCAAACTACCCACAGTGCAATCAGTAAGTATTAGAAAACAGGTAAAGACTTGTTTTATGTGCTCTGGCTATATGTCAGACACAGAAGAAACAAGTAGAGCTGATAACCCCTAACTTTTAAGGTCTATTCTAGACGTAAAGATGCAGTGTAGTTCCAAAATTATAGTTAAAAAATATATATATACAAATAATAAATCATCCACAGTAAATGTTGGAAACAGAAAAAAACAGGCAATATGTACAAATATATAACTTCTCTAATATGAATATTAAAAAGAATTTATAAATAATAGAAGCATGCTGATTGTTTTATAATATTTTCAAATTCAAATTAAGAAAAAGATAATGAAGCTGTATTCAAGAATATTAGAAGTATTGTGAATATATATAGGACTGAAAATGATTTTGTATAACAGCAAAAAGCAAAATTGAATGGCATTCTATTTAAAATGCTTTCTTTTTTATATTTAAATGTATTATTTTAGAGAAAATTCATCATTTAATAGGTGGCTAGCAAACTGTTTCAAAAAGCAAGATAATTTACAATTGAGTATAGTATATCAGCATTTCCATATTTTGCATCATCTTGATTTAATATTTCTGGTGCTTCAGCAACGCTAGTGCCCATTCTTGGTAACCACATCACCACAGAAATGTAATATATGTGTTCCGTATCGTTTCCTGCATTATGTGTGTGGGTTGTGGTTGTTGCTTAAGTTCCCATGACTATTGAGTGAGGAAGTTGGGTATAATTCCTGGCAGCATAGTAGTTTATCCATTACACTAAAGAGCAGATCGTATTTCAAAATGTTTTTCTGAGATCATTACAGCAACAAATGGCAGGGTTATCAGCCTTATTACCAATTGCCCAGAAAATGTGGGGAAAAAAAGCCACTAAAAATAGCCACAGGAAGCAATAATTTCTATGACAAAATGTTCGGCTGTTTACTTAGTACGCTAAGTAATATATTTTTGATCAAAGATAAACAGTTTAAAAAGTTACATTTGTGTTGTGGGGAGGCAAGGCTGAGGGAAGGAGGAAATTGCTGTTCCCTAAAGGCTGATGTACCTTGTAAAATAATCTGTCTTCAAACTCAGAATGAAAGGGAGCCAAAAACAGCTTTGAATTACATGAAGACCCTGGAGAGGCTGTTCATTACACAATTTGCTGTAGTGGTTTGCAGATGTCTCATTTTGTGAGTCAGATTATGCACTTTATTTTTTGTTGTTTAAGTTATGTTGTATAGCGTTGGTTATAAATTCTTTCCTGATTTGTCACAATTTCTCTGTAAACAGCACAATGTCTACTTTGAACAAACTGATACATTGTACCCCTGCTGTTTCAAAACTGTGACTGATGAAAGAGCTGTACTCTGGCTCTGAAGCAAGTAAGGTACTTAGTAGAAAATGGCCCTTTTATATAGTGCATCCAACTATAACATCAGAAGGCTGGACTTGTAACCACTTTATAGAGAAAGTACCCAAGAGTACATGGTGAGGTGATCAGCAAAATGCCAACTCTGAACAGCAATGAGGCAGTGATGTCAAATGACCCGTTTTGGCACATTTTATTTTAAGGATGTAATCCTGTAGCACATACATAGTCCTTGCTAAAGTTAATAAAACTTCCATTATAAGCTAAGAAGTCTTACTAAAAAAATACTTATTCATAGATTTGTTCTAAAGTTGGGTTCCTGGTTTTAACTGAGGTCATATTCAGGCAATAAAGACTCTAACAAGAAAAAACCTTTTTTCCTTAATTTGGGAAAAAAATGTCATTATGCCTTGGGAAGTATTATAATATTGTTGTAATCATCTGCAATCCTCATTAGTCTTCTTATTATATCTGAAGCACTTGTATTTGTTGAAGTAGAAGCAGCTGAGATAAAAGAAATTTGAAAGTGAAATCATTACACATTTGAGTCAGTGCCTTTTTCAAACTGGAAGCCTGCTCTATTACTCTTAATGAGCTGATGCCCCAAATACTGAAAATGGATTCATATTTCTTAACCTCTTTTGAACCTCTAGTTAAAAACTGTGGTGTGAATTCAAAAGGAAAAAAGAATGTCAATGGTGTTTTTAAACTATTCATTTGGGGAACTATTAGTCAACCTTTACAAACTACTTGATAGTAATATTTAGCCAAGTCTAAAATTAATGTTTTTATCGATTAGAATACTAAAAGAAACCTATTTTAGTAGTTATTTTATATTTTTAAGGATCGATTATATGTCATATAATTCATAAACAACAGTTAATAGATACTTAAAATTTAAGAAAATATTTACATGTTAAAATTAAATATTAATAACAATATATGGATAAAAGCATATAGAACTAAATATACATGCACACAAATGAGTAAAAATAAAACTGAAAAAGCTGGATAAAATTGATATCAAAGTCAATATCCTAGGCTAATGTTATACTATAGTTTACCTTTAGCAGAAACTAGGTAAAGTATACACAGTATCTCTTTATTATTTCTTTCAACTGCATGTGAATATAAAATTATCTCAATACAATTTTCATCTAAAAATTAAATGTTACATAATTACAATTTGATCTATCTATAGCCTCTAAATTTACAAAAGGAATAGGCATTTTTAAATAACTGCTCTAGATATTTAATCGATAATAAATACCTAGTAAGAGGAGATACCCTAAATTTAGCATATTAGAAGTCAAGTACACATATAGTATGAGATTTTATAGGTTAATAAAATATAATGTTAATTTAGAAGAAAGGGAAGTGTTTCAATATTTGAAAAGAGCAAATTTCTAATTCCCAGGTATTGTGCATTTTCACTGCATCTAGTGAAATCACTGTTATAAACCACTCAAAGCAACATCACTGGTGTTGATTTTATTTGAAGATAATATAATCCAGTTTTATATTGTACTTTGTAAATCAAAAGCAACATGGGACAGGGAATGTTTGCAGTACAGATCTAAGTTGGAGGAAGACATCACTTTTAATTAAGAAGCACTAAAGTGATATATAGTTCTATAGGAAAAGTGCCAGATCAGAAGAAGTGAAAACACTTAGGTTTTAATAGTTTCCTTTTGGTGACTCTAACTATGCTAATTTGTCTTTGATAAATTGTGACAAGGACTGTCAACTTAAATGGTCAACATACTCATTAAAATTAAGCAATAACATTTCTATAGTAATAATCTTAGATATGTTTAAGACTTAGCCCTTTTTCTGGAAGTTAGAGTCTAATAATCTCTGCTTAGTCCCCCAGGGAGTGGGGTGAGGGGAGGGTGGTGGCGGCATTCAAGTTCTGGCAGCATGTGAAACAACAGGCAACCCTCAGGAATTTCAGGGCCACACAATCTACTTGAGTTACATGATACACTTGTGATTAACACTAATTCATTTAATGTGCTCAAGTATCTATGTACCCAGTTAGAAGATTCAGATCCTATAATATTCCTAGGTATTTTGTATTTCATCACTTTATTACTATTTTAATGTTGACACAAGGACCCAAGATCCAATCTTCATGATAAAGACAAAATTTCTTATTAACAGCTAAGGTGAATCCACAAGTTGACATTCTAATACAGTGTCAGAAGACGGAACCAAGGGATTGCCTTGGGTGGGCATCAACATTGAATCACTGCAGTTGGAAATAACAATCAGTTTTGTTTTTATGATTTCGCATTGATGTTTACTTATATTTAAGCTCCTTTAGAGATTTCAAATGACCAGACCACCAAGCCTGGCTGCATTTTCCTTGAAAACTATTAAGAAAAAATATATAGAGATCAGGAAGACTTTGTTGATTCTTTGCAATTTGCATGTGCACTATACGAAAACTAGGAGAAATCTGAAAAAAAAATCAGATATCCATATGTTATTTAATACCTCATATCCAGATGTTTTGGAGGTCTGGTGTTATAAGGTTTATAGCTTTAAGACTGCATATATTTTCAGAAGTCAAATAAAATATTGCATTTTATTTATTCATTTGTTTCTCATTTTGATTTGTTTCTACTATCTTTTAGAATTACCAAGAAATTTTATGGAAATCATCATTTTGAAGTCAGGTAATAAGCAGAAAAATAAAGAACTGCAATATTATCTATCTTCTTAAGTGTATATTTAGCATTCTCTTGTTCAGTTATCCAGATGATTAAATTTATTTCTTGAAAAGCAAATCACATATCAAATTTGGCCTTACTTTTTGGCACATATGATGGTAATGTGGATTAAATGTTATGAAAACAGCTAAATTTAATTAAAAATATACTTTAGAACTAAAAAACTAAAAATCTCAGGTTAAAATTTTTTCATAATCTGTGTAAATCTGAAAATACGAGTAAAATTATTGAATTGTATTGAAATGAAGGTAGGAAAAATAAATTTTATAAAATGTTTACATATATTTATAAACTATGTATGTTTCCTTTATTACTAGTTTAAATGTCCTTACTCATAAACAGAAGATCTAAATATGGGAAATAATCAAATTCCATCATGTTTAATATTTTTCTTTCTCCAGTCATATAAACATTGATTCATGACTTATTTTCATATTTTGTTGCTCAAAAGCTATAGTTGACAGGGTAGGACATTTGAATATGTTCTGGGTAGCAATTTTGTTACCTTAATTTATAATTGTAAATATTTAGAGACATGAACTCCATTTGTCTTCCTGCCCCAGGCAGGCTACTGTTAGGTGAGACTATACAGATCTTTTTTTTTTAAGTCATATTATCATTATCTGATATAGTTTGGATGTGTGTCCCTGCCCCAATCTCATATTGAATTGTCTAACTGTAATCCTCAATGTTGGAGGTTGGGCCTGGTGAGAGGTGACTGGGTCATGGGTTGGAGTCTCATGAATGGTTTAGCACCATCCCCTTGCTGCTGTTCTCATGATAGTGAGTGAGTTACGGGAGATCTGGTTGTGTAAAAGTGTGCAGCACTTCGCTGCTGGCTCTCGCTTGCTCCTGCTTTCAGCATGTGCCTGTTCCCCCTTTGCCTTCTGCCATGACTAGAAGCTTCCTGTGGTCTCCCCAGAAGCAGATGCCACTATGCTTCCTGTACAGCCTGAAGAACTGTGAGCCAATTAACCCTTTTTTCTTATAAATTGCCCAGCCTCAAGTATTTCTTTATGGCAATGCAAAAACAGAGTAATCTTTTCTTCAAGATCCTTCCTCACAACTAAGAAGTTGACCCTGCCTTTTCTTTCTTCCATGTATATGGGTTTTCTTTACAGTGCCCTCTAAATTTCAATGATTGGTTTATACTTCACTCTTCCTGGCTAAACTGTATTTAGATTTTAAAAATCACTCTGCTTTACTTAGTATTAGAACTCTAATGCTCTATAGCAGTCATGTACCTGGAACCTAGTAGTTGCTCATGAAAATGTATGTTCAGTTTTATGTTGAATTTGTGTTACTGAAAACCATCTATCAGAGTATGGATTACACTTTAGGTCAGGGGTGTCCAATCTTTTGGCTTCCCTGGGTCACATTGGAAGAAGAATTGTCTTGGGTCACACATAAAATACACTAACAACAGCCGATGAGCAAAAAGAAAAATAATCGCAAATAAACCCTCATAATCTTTTAAGAAAGTTTACAAATTTGTGTTGGGTCACATTCAAAGCCATGCTGGGCCGCATGCAGCCCACAGGCCGCAGGTTGGACAAGCTTGCTTTAGATATTCACTTAGCACATGTTAATGATGGAGTAAATAAAATTGATCTTCCAACTTGCAATTTTCTAGCATCCTCATGAAATTAAAATTCCATTTCGCTTACCAATACCTGTCTCTATTATCTAAAAACTATCCATCAGAGGGTAACTAATTAATGCACTAATTTTTCTCTGCTGAGGCATTGGCACTGACGTTTTAGTAATGCCATGTACTTTTCCCATTTGTAATTTGTAAAATATTCTCTTATGATCACCATGTATTTTGTAAATAATAAAATAGTATTTGATTATATACATAATCAATGATAATAATGATTTATATATATATAGTATCATATATACGTCATTTAACAAACCATTGTTATGGTTTAAATTATGTTGCCCAAAAAGTTGTTGAAGTGCTTTCTCTCAGTAAATGTGACCTTAATTGGATATGGTATCCTAGCAGATGAAATCATTTGGGTGGTCCCTAATCAATACGACTGAGTCTTTATAAAAAGGGGAAATTTAGACACAGACATAGACACACACACAGGGAGAATCCTATGTGAGCATGAAGGAAGATACCAGAAAATGCATCTATAATCCAAAAAATGCCAAAATTTCCAGAAAACTACCAGAAATTAGGAAATGGGCATAAACAGATTATCCCTCACATCCCTCAGCAGAAACCAACCTTGCTGACACTTTGATGGTGCATGTCTAGCCTCTAGAACTATGAGAACGTTAATTTCTGCTGTTTAAGCCATCCAGTTTTTGGTGAGCTTTGTAGCGTTTTCATAGAGCTTTGTTACACCAGCTCTACAAAACTAATACACCCATAAATATTGCTAAAGATAAATATTCTCAGAGCCGCCTATCATTTGGACAATATATCAACAACTAGAATGACTGACGTGTGAATAGTATCTTTTGAAAGAAATCCTAAAATTCACCTTCATTGAGAACTTTCAAAGAGAAGAGAAAAGTCCAATTTGGGGTGCAGTCCTATGCAAAAGCAGCCACCCTAGTGGGGATGACGCCAGGTGGGTTTTTATGATTGGCTTAAACATAGATTGGGATGGCACGAAATAAAGGCAGAGAAAAGGGGATAGAAGATCCTAAACCCTCTAATTATGTTCTTTCATCCTCCCTCACTACGCACCATTTGCTTTTTTATAATGTGATACCTGCCAGAGAGATCATATGGGCAAAGTATTTCTGCTTCTAAATTAGCCCAAAAGTTAAAAAAAAAAAAAGATTCCGGGTTTGCTTTCCTGTGAAGGTATAAGATAAAATGTAAAGAACAAGCACAGTGATGATAGAAAGGTTGGACTCAGATTTTATATTTTTACAAAAGGAATTTTTAAAACACATATTGTACGTGAAGAGATGTAGCAGGGTACTAATAGCGTAGGCCTTTTAAAAATCAATAATTGGTGTTAGTAATAAGAGATGTGCTGACAACCAGCTGTGAAAGTGGCCTCATTCCTGCAGTGCAGGAGGGAAAGAAACCAGCCGGTGATTACTAACTCCAAATATTGCTTGCAGTGAAAGCTTCATTAAAAAAAATTAGTAAAATACCCCTTTTACCTTAAAATATGTGTCCCCATATTGAAAGAGGATCTATATAAAGAGTTCAGAAAAGAACTGCTGCAAACTGTTCAAATCAAGAGTATTTCCCAGTTGGGCCACCGGCCTACATTGTGGAACTTACTCTTTAGTAAAAAGCTCTTCTCCTCCCAATTAAAGAAAAAAAGGTTGGGATGCCCACAGGTCCTTGCAGCATGTTTAGCGTGACTTTTAACCCCTCATTTCACCTTCTGTATATGGCTCTTCTTTATACCACCACCTGATACAGCCACAGAATCTAGTCTCCACTGCAAATTAGGCTGTTAGCATCTCTTTCACAATTTTTAAAAGTCAGTGTCGAAATTCACTGTTGGCCCTTGCTGGTCTTCTATGCATGCTGCCTGTGAAAATCCAGCCATTTATTTTTATTCAAATCAAAGGGAGGCATTTTTGTTATTAAATAAGTTACTCAAAAACAAACAGCAACAGAGTCCACTTCTTACCAGCATATTCCTGCAAGCCTGATATTCTACATGAATTATCTTAATGAGGAAATATATCCAAGCACTGAATAAGGAATCTTAGATTTCCAGCTTTGACTTTTAGCTACAGCTCACTCACACACAACCTTACAGAATCCCTTAAATCTCCAAGAGCCCATTTCTCATTTTCCTCTGTGCTCCCATGGAGCTGATCCAATGGTTTTTAAGGGAGCTCTGAGCTTGGACAAGCTCTGAAGGGCATGGGGCAAGACAAGAAACGGGCCCTGCGCTCCCTGCTTATCGTCTTGGAAAATAGGTATGATAATATCAGCCTCACCAGGGTCCCATTGCAATTAATGTTTGGAAAATGTTTTGAAATCCCAGAGTTAAGAAAGGCAATACCAGCGTCAATTATTTAAGGGTCTTATTTCTAAAGCACTATTCAAATTGTTTTAAGCCACTTTTTCTAAAAATATATGATACAAAGGCAATTATACTACCTGCAAGCATAAATTGATGTGGTGGTTTTATGGTCTTTTGAAAATTGCCTTAGTAGAATATCTCTGTGACCTGGAACATCTAGTTAAATGAGGAATCTGAGTTTTGTAGACTCGCCCAAACACTTAAACGCCAAAGAGATGAATCTATGGGAAGGGTGCTTTTCTTTGTTGATCTTGATTGCAGTTTCTGCACTTTCCAGAAGGTGATGTTGCTTTGCTTGGCTTCGTTTCAGATCTGAGGAGGGAAGCCAAACAAACAGTGGAAAATGAAGGATGAATAAAAAAAGAAAAGAAAAGAACCTTGGCTTAGGAAAGAGAAAACTTTTACAACCAAAGGCATTACAGAAGGTCTTTGAGTTTCAATAACTTTGTAATCTTCATATCCAACCAATTTTTGCTGTATGAGTATTTCTGAGTCGAACATCCTGGAATTAAAGATAGATTCCAAAGTATTTCTAAACAATGTGTAAAACTGGCATTATTAGAAGTCTTTGAGTATATAGACAAGACGGAAAGTTTAAAATAGGGAAACTAAATTGAGAACAAAGATGTTTCTAAAGATAAATCTATTGCTTGAATTTATTATATAACAACATTTTTTAACTACACAGGTTTGCATTTTACTTGGTACAAATATATCGTTGAAGAGTTCACTTACACATCCAAGCTATTACATACAACTGGGAATGGATGCTCAATGCTGTGTACAAGGTAAAATAGGTCTTTAAAAATATGTATATCCGTTAATGCTAAGCTATATATTTTTCAGGTGTCCTTGTAACTTAGTGTTCTTTTTCTTTTTGCTTTATTTGCAGTTTATTTAATATTTGAAAATACTTTTGTATCAATTAGCAAATTAGCAATTTATCTGGGCGGAAAAACCCCATCTTAGTTACTGAGTTACAAAGTGAATTGTTCTGCAGCTGCAAAATCAAGTGCCTCAGCTGAGTTAATGCTTTTCATTTCTTTTGCATGTGTCAGCATTAATGGAGGCAAGCTTCTATGAAGCCTTGCGTGTGAAGATGGTGCTGAGCAGACTAGATTCAATTCTGTTATATTCAATTCTGTTAAATGCTTTTTGCATTTTTTTTTTTTTTTTTTTTGGAATAAGGCACAAAAGGAGACTTCAGGCTGAACTTCAAGCAAAAGTTAATGCTATTCTCTTTTGGGTTCAACCACCCACTTTGCTTAAGGTCACTAGTTGAGGCTAATGCAGCTCAGAGGGGCTGCAGTAAACTTGGCATCTCCTTGATTAGGCTCCCTGCTGATCTAATACACATACTAGTTCACTTGCCAAGTCAAATAACACATTTAGTGAATTGGAAATAAGATTTAAGTGGGCCAGCACAATGCGGCTTGCCCTCTCATCTTTTTACCGAATCCTTCTCTTTGTATGCAAGGCTGTGAAAACTGCTCTTGTTAGAGGACTTAATCTTCATTTTTTTCCTGTAGATTATTTGGAAACAGGTCAATTGAATGTTGGAGCTGCTAACTCCTCCCACTAAAGAAAGAACCCGCTTGTGGCATACTGATTGCATCATTTAAATGAAAAGCTCCTATTATTAAAGATAAAATACTACAATATAAGGGTTTGTTAGAATTAATTTAAAAATCCTGATATTAAATGCAGTACTTTTTTAACAGTGTGTTTATTTCTTTGTCTTATAGATTCTTTTCTAAAGCATGCTTTGTATTAACTACTGGTGAGTAATAGGAGGGGATGATCATATCAGTATATATTCATCTCCTGTGGCTATTCTGCTGCAGTTAATTCTTAAATACAGTAGGTTATAATAGGGTGACATTTCTATAGTGCCTTTCATAAGAGCAATCTAAAGCATGTCATATAATGTTTGACTTTGAACTATTCAGTTTCTTAGTGACACAAATCTCAGGGTAAATTTATGCCTTCATGGTTTGTTTCCTTAAAAAATATGAGTCATTGTATTTGTTATAGTTTGAAATTTATCATAGATTCACCATAGATTATCAAGTTATCCATGCCATAATAATCTGTAACTGTCCTTATCTGTGTGTTAGATGTGCAGGGTTATGATGTGTGTGGACTTTTTACGATCTACTTATCTCTTCTGGTCATATAGATTTATGTGTATCTCTTTTCTGACTAAATCTGAAATCAGAGCTTGCATTCTGAAGAAACAAAACATATCTATGTAAAATCCAAGTACTATTCCCTGACATCTAAAAGTTAGAGAAAAATGATTATAATACCCTCCACCAAAATAAGGAGGTACTCAATTTCAATTGCATTTTTTACAAAATAAAATGTTAAATGTGTGAAATGTATAATGTACCCTGAGATTAAGCTAAGTATCCCCAGAATGATTTTTAGAGTTACAATAAATAGACTATTTCAAGGGACAGTGTTTGATTATCTAAAATTTACATATTTGCAACAGTTGTTTCTGAGTGGAAAGGATTTATTTACTTAGCCAAAGCAAATAGCTTTTCTATGAAATGTGAAATAGGTTATACTGTTTATACTGTGTTTAGTCATTACATTTCATTCCTCAAAATGAGTACCAGATCTCTGTACTGTGTAATGAATATCCTCACAGTTTGTAAAACAATGTTAGTAATAATAATAAAGAATTGATCAATTTAATATTCTAATCTGGACTTCAATTTGAGGTTGTTGTTCTATCCAAAAGCACTTTGTAAATTCTAGAGAACTACACAAATGTGAGATCATTGCTATATTTTTCATCTCCTCTACTATATTTTACCTGTTTCTTTTACTTGTTTTGGACACCAGTAATGTTAAAACTCATCTCTAATAGGAAAAAGCAGAAAAATTGAAAAGATTACAAATGGTAAAATTATGATTAAACATAAAATTATTATGAAAAATGGCAGACTCCTACAATAGTCTGAGTTTTGTTTTTTGTATTGGTAAGAATTACACTTTTTTTTTGTTTTTTTGTTTTGTTTTATTTTGTTTTGGATGCCTTAGCTACAGATAGATGGCATCTAACCTCAAGGTAAGATTTTACTGCAGGAAGGCATTTTTACCTCATTACAGTTTGTCAGTAGAGAAAATATTTGTGGCATATTGATGTTCTACTGGTTAGAAAATATGTTTCCCCAAGCTCATGATTTTTATTCTGTGTTCTTGTAACTACTTAGAGCAACTTTGGGACATTAAGACATCAGTAACAAACACAAATATGTGATTACTGGCTTCAAAGTACGTGTAACAACTACCCTTTTTGAATATCTTTATATCTTCTGTTAATGTTCAGAGATGTTCAAAAGGTACATGACATTTTACACCTGTACAATAAGAATGTTTGGAAGAAATAATTGTGAATGAAAAAATTATTTAAGAGAGAATTTTATGTTTTGGGAAGAAATGACAATTAGTATTTTAGCCATTTCTTTCTCACTAACAAATGTATGCCAAAATACCACCTGTTTAATTCTTAGCATCCAAGCAAAACTATTTTTATTAGCTATATTAGACATATTTTTCCCTTCAGTTTCTTAAGTTTTTTGAGGTAATTATCATAATGTAAGTACAAATAAAAACATAATGTTATGATAAACTTAGGGGATAAAATTATATCTTAAAATTTTATTTACATTTGTTGCCATTTCAGACAAACAACTGAAAACTTACCCTTCCTTTTAAATTAATAAACTTGGAGCAATATTAAACCTAAATTTAATTCCTCACAGTCTCTTCCTTTTTTCCATTCCCAAAGAACCACTCTCTTGGTCCTAGATTGGAAAGGGGTATTTCAGTCTTATATAGCTGTATAACTTTTTATTCTCCCCAGGGGCAAAGAATAAAGTCATATTTCATAATTATATATATATATATATATGGTATTGTGTACAAGGGAATATCAGGAGATGGTATGTGACCTACATGTTCCTACAAAGAGCATGACCCAATAAGAGTACACATATTTTTAAATGATTATGTGTTTCTAGTAGCAAAAGAGCCAGAACCTAGAATTGCAATCTCTCAATTGCAAATTCATAAGAGCAATTGAGAATTCCCTGCTACTATTCCCACCCTTAACCAGCTAGTATATGCAAGCATTACAAGAAATTGCTAAAGACAGTGCTGTACAATATATGCAGGTAACTAGTAAAAATAGTAGCCCCCTACCAAACATCAATACAGTTACTAACAATCTAGAAGAAAATGTGCTATTAAAAATAGGTACTGAATCATAGGGTTAATTATTGTTTAAGTATTCTAGCTATGATAATATAATTCATTCAATTTACATAAAGTGAAAAGTGATAATGGTAAAATTCTTATGTCTGGAATAACTTTACAGCTCTATAACTCTTTTGATGACCTTGAAAGTTATATAGAATAAAAATGTATGCAAAAACACTTTAAAGTAATTCTTTTATCTTACCATTAAGTTGGTAATACAGCATGTATTTTGATAAATATAAAATTCCTTTTTCACATTTAACTGACGATCTATTGTACTCCAATTTGGCAAATGGGCATTTTGTTAAGTAAGGAAATGTTTTATTTTTATTGTAAAGATTTGCTTTTATTTCAAATACATGAGTGAGTGACAAACTTTAGAGTCTAATAACAAAAAACAGCAGGTAAGAAATAAAGAATTTTTTAAAGAAATAGATTAAAATTTATTTATAAAGATTGAAAAAAGTTAAATACTGTTTCAAACTTGACTTTCATTTTATTAACTTCTGTGAATACTATTATGATTTAGACACTAAAGTTTTTCTCACATTAAGTTATTCAAGTAAATATGTCTAGAGCAAAAACTGCTTGACTGCAGTGAGCAGGTCTTATTTATTTATTTATTTTTAATCTACACTCATCTATAGTAAGTGTCTAGTCTCTAGTAGATCTTCAATAAGTACCGTTGATAGGATGGAATAAAAGTGCCCTAATTAGATACATGCAGTTTGCTTTAAAACTGTTTACAATTATACACCTGGAAGAAGAAGCACAAAGATAATTGAACTGAACCTTATGCTTGGAAATAAAAGCCCACCAAATAATCAGATTGGTTAAAGAAATTGCTTATAGTCATCTTAGTTTAAAATAAAAAAAAATCTTTTTCACTAATAATTATTAAAATAGATTGAATATATTTTTACCAAAATCATTGCATTTTTTTAGGTACACATGGAAAACTTCTGTCCAAAAAGTTTTGCCTCTTTGAGAAGTAAAATTATTTCTTAAAACCCAGAGCTGAGAAATACACATCATGTGTAAAGAGTATTAAATAAAAATAAGAACCCACAAACAATATTCTGTGCAGCAAATAATCATTTTTTTGTCTACTTCTATAACAGAGAACTCCTGAAAGTTCTCTCTTTTCAGGAGAACCCAGGGTGTTTATTTATCAAGCCTTCTAAGAAAGGAAGTCACAGGGATGTTGTGTTTCTGTTTCAGAATATCAGAATAGAAAATTAAGTATGCTTCTTTTTGCATTCAGTTACACTTCTGAAATGAACCTTGACACCTAAAAATGTTCTAACTACTCAGAAATCAGTTTGAAGTGCACATCTCCCATCACTCCCAAGATCCAATTTTACTATCAACTATTTTATGGAAGACGATGCCAAAAATCTTTATTAAATTGATAGGTCTACTTTAAGACAAACTATATACCACATTCATTTTTTCTCAAACAGCACAACTGGCTAAAACATGGTAATAGTTAAAATGAATATGGCATAGACAGCAATAGAATTATAATTCTTTCTATGCAAAGGAATGACCTTCTTTACTCAGTAATGGAAATATTTTATGGGATAACCCTTTACCCTATTATAAATACACTTCTTTCTTTCCTCCCTCTCCATCTATTCATATATGGGTAGTACACATGTTATACACAATATGAACTCTTTTCAATTTATAACACTGTAAACATGTTCCTGCATTTCTTATTATCTGAGTTGATGGACTAATTAGAAACAGTCAAGGTTATATCTCGGTGTGCCAATAAAAAATGTTTCTAATTGGCGCTGAGACTGAAGATAATTCAATTACAAATCTTTTCCATTTGATTCATTCTTTTCTTCCTTAGAAAGGATTATGTTGATGGGATTCAGGTAATGGAACTTGGTGGCTTAGGAGAAGCATTAAAACATCCTTCCAGCTTTCAACTAATGTGATTAAGTTTTATGAAGTTTGTTTTTCTTCTTAAAATCTTACTGAGGTCGAGTGCTCATGTGATTCCCTTAGAGCAGGGTTGAGAAGTTGGGTGAGTTGAAGAGGTGTTACTAATCTCTTAATATGTGCCCATTAAAGTTCTAAAAAGATTGAACTACTCATTTCCCCATATCACAATTCCTAAGTTTATAAATAAAAACACATAGCTCTTCTCAATTAAGTCTTCCTTACAGACCTTGGACTGAAACACTTCTGTATAATACCCACAGAGTACACGTGTAGGGTGGTTAATGAGCAAAAGTTGATTTAAAAAAAAAAAACTTAGTTTAAGTTAAAATAATCTTTGTGTTGTCAATAACCTAAACTTTTTATCTAGTTATTTACTGAGCCCACAAAAATAAAACGTGTTATTTTCTCTTTCTTCTAAAGAAAGGCAAGCAGCAAATACTTAACATTATATTTAATTTCACACTGGCATTTAAATTAGACAAAGATAGTAAGCAATCTACAGTGTCCAGTGTTTTCATTTGTGTGTGCAAAGAGCTTGAATTGCATGGTATCTTCTTTCCCCTTGAAAGATGAAAAAACAATGTATTAGGTTACAACTGGAACATTTTAAGATTTAGTATCCAGAAATTAAATGCATCATGAAACGATAGGTGGAGTTTAATGTACACCCTATCAGTGTGGGTCAGTGACCTGGAACATTTTCAGGATTAGTATGAATAGAAAATATTCCCTTCTATTTTCTCTCCATATAGGAATCTATTTTAATATCTCTCCCAGTAGGTCAAAGGCTCTTTCCAGTGATTCTAAATGGAAAAGAATTTCAGAAATCAAATTATATTAATGAAAACCTCGATACAGAAAGTTATAAGAAATGTGTTGTATTTGCATATAAACATTTATATATAAATCTATCTATAATTATACATATTAATATGTGCCATATCACTTAATAATCTATGGTTATGCTTACACATATTATTTTCCAAAATTAGTAGATTTTTTTAAAAGAAAAGCAATAGCCTATAGCTGGATGTATTTGTAAAATTCTTAACTGAGACATATGTTGTAGATAAATCTGAAAGCAAGCATGGATACATTCCATGACAAGTATTTAAGTACTGGCAGTATTTATAGGAATGTTCAGTCTTCTGATTTATATTACACATACTTTCTATATGATCACTAGAAATTTTATTAAACCAATCATTTCTGGAGCTTGATAATTACCTTTGAGTGGAAGAAGGTACATGCCTCGGTGGAATCTCTCTCTTGCCTTAGAGGAAATATTAATTGCAGTCAATTTTCGATTAGATAAAAAATGTTGTGAAATTTTCTCATCTTAAAATCCCTTATCCCTATAATGCAGAACATTCTAATGGTTTGCCACCATGAGGCAACACATTAACTATCTCAGTGTGGCATCAGCCTGCAAAGTTTGTAAACAGCTTTACACTTGAAAATACAAGAATGGTAAAATAAGAATTTTTATTATATGTTTTAGAAGTTGCCATTTTCTAGTTCTTTAGATCCCCAAAATAAAATAGAAGTTATTTTTCTATTAACTTTGAGAAGATTTTCAGTGATTGGTTCATTTATAATGCTAGTTTTTCAACTTCCAATGATACTTGTAGGAAAAGTAACAATTACTATAACTTTGACTTTGATCTTCCTTAGATTGTGACATATTTAATGCTTTTGTCAAAATGTTATAGTACCTCATTAGCAAAGATAACCATGGAATACACAGGAAGAAGAAATAATAGTTAATATTTTTTAAGTCACATAAACTACCTAAGTATTTAACAAAATTAGTGATTTTTAGATGTCAGTAATTGATAAGCCCAATTCTTGACTCAATGTCCATCATATTATATGAAATAACTGAACTCCTTGTTTTTTCAAATACAAACAAAAAAACTTTGACTTCATGAATCTTCCTCAGTATTTACATAATTTAAGCGAAAGCCTATGGCGGACAAGGGAGATATAGTTCTCACTGACATTTGCTTTGGAATTGGGCACTGTAGGGTTGATGCCCTGGAGGTTTGTCCAGCCTGCTGTAACTGACATAAAACTGACCATTTGACCATGCCTGTGTTTGCTTTAGATTTCATATTAGTCTTGTGGTTTTTGCTTTGCAAAGCTGTAGAACAGCTGCTTTTCAAAAGAACATATGCTAAGGACATGGTAACTAAGTTCAGCCTTCACCAAAAACTTGAGGAATTCTTTGAGAAAAATATACCAATGACAGTATTAATTTTGGAATCACCTCTGGAGTCTTCAGTGTCATATGGATCAAAGAGTTCAGAGTTCAGTGCATGGATGTTTAACTTAGCTTTTGATTTTCTCCAGCGGAAAATTTGTATGTTTTCAATGTGCTGGTGCTAAAGGAAAAAGAAAATTTGAATGGAATATGTTCACTGTCATGTATAACATAAGAAAAAAAACAGTTTATATCATTTTCTGGGGCATGTATTTTGCATTCTTCTCTTTGATTTTGACAATCTATCCTTTAAGATTCTTTGTCTGTTTGGTGATATTTGCACTTTAGTAACATAAGTGGGGAAGAACACACTGCCGTAGGGAATGGTCCTGGAACAAATGTAGTTGGAGTTCCTGAATTGTGCTTCCTGGTACTAATTTTATTATTCACCATGATGTTGTCCTTTGTACACGTAAATCATTACTTTGACATTGTTGTTAAATGAGGAAGGTTGAAATTAAAAGGAATCACATGTTTCCTACAGTAAACTGTTGGAATCTCTTCCCCATTTATTGGATTTTGTTTTTGTGTTTGCAGAGCCTGTCACTGTTGACACATTTACCACCTCATCTCATTGACTAGCTGAGTATCTTTTCATAAACAATGTGTTTCTATTCTCAATAGCATGCTCTTAGACATATAGTAGGTCATTGGACACATGATGTTTTTTCAAGCTAATATCTAGAGTAATTTTCTGATGGTGATTGAATCTTATTTTACATTAACAAGTCAAATAATCTTATCATGCCTGGCATGGTGGCTCACGCCTGTAATCTCAGCCCTTTGGGAGGCCGAGGCGGGTGGATCACCTGAGGTCAGGAGTTCAAGACCAGTCTGATCAACATGGAGAAACCCGTTTCTACTAAAAATACAAAATTAGCCAGGCATGGTGGCACACACCTGTAATCCCAGCTACTCCGGTGGCTGAGGCAGGAAAATCACTTGAACCCAGGAGGTGGAGGTTGTGGTGAGCTGAGATCACGCCACTACACTCCAGCCTGGGCAACAAGAGCAAAAACTCCATCTCAAAAAAAAAAAAAATTATAGATGCCACTTTTCCTTGCTCTGTGAGCTATTAAGTATAGAAACATGAAGGCAGGTGGACTGTATGCAAATACTGAGACAGGAGCTATTATGAATATTCACTGTAGCACAGATGACCTGGATGCTGTCTCTATATGGGAATTCCTTCTCAGGCTTTCTTGGGAAATTTATATTTTTCAAATCTTGAATCCTGAGAATTATTAAATGAGAAATGTTAAAAAATTAAAAACAAGTATTATAATTATCTGCGAGAATTAAAGCTTAAATATCATCACAGAGATGTTATTGGTTTGAAGGAATCCATTGACATCAAGTTAAAAGCAAAAGTGAGACACCTTGACAGTCAGTCAAAAGTTAAAGTTGATATTTCCTGGAAACAGGACAAGAACACATAGGCAAGAAGAGGTCACAATCTAATTAGTCAATCTTGCTTGTGGTTATTGCCATGATAAAAATGTTCATGGGCTGTTGGCGGCTTACAATAAGTCATTTTTAAAACATAAATAAATATTAATAAGTTAATACATATCATATACTTTATGCAAATACTATGAATAGTGTTCCAAGAAACAATTTGACTTGAAAGTAAAATAAATCATTAAATTGAAATCTACACCTGTACTGCTGTTAACCTTGATAGGAGATACAAATGTTTAATTTTTTTAAAATACTACCTGATATGGTTCAGCTCTATGCCCTCACCTAAATCTCATCTTGAATTGTAGCTCCCATGATCCCCATATGTTGTGGGAGGGACCTGGTGGGAGGTAACTGAATCATGGGTGCGGGTTCTTCCCATGCTGTTCTCATGAGAGTGAATAAGTTTCATGAGATCTGATGGTTTTATAAAGAGCAGTTCCCCTGCACATGCTCTCTTGCCTGTCACATATAAGAGGTGTCTTTGCTCCTACTTTGCCTTCTGCCATGATTGTGAGGCCTCCCCAGCCATGTGGAACTGTGAGTTCATTAAACCTCTTTGTCTTTATAAATTACCCAGTCTTGGGTATGTCTTTATTAGCAGCATGAGAACAGACTAATATACTACCCAATAATGCACAGTGGTAATTTTCAGTGTTTCAGTATTTGCTATAGGTTGTGTTTCTTTGAAATATTTTAACAAAATAACTACAAAGAAAAGAAGATAACAATGGTATAGAATCTCCAAGGTGAAATCCAAAACTGATCTAAAATCTAAGTTGGTAAAAGTGTATTTATTTTAATACTAAAATCAAATCAGAGCATGTTTTCATCATTAAAAAAAGAGATTATATTAAATAACATATACCCTAATGCCCAAGTTGTAAACGCTTTTGGAAGCGCTTATAACAGTTTGATCAGTGTCAATAACAAAATACAAACTATTTCTACATCTAGAATATTTATCATGTAACAAATATTAAGTCTTTTAGATAGGAAAATGAGTACTTGTGTGTTTTACTCCCACTTTGTGTATTTTGAAATTACTTTTAAGTATTATAACTCAGAAATATTAAATATTTGGATTATTTTCAATGTTTTAAATAATTTTTATTTGGCATTGATTTTATATTAATATTTCCTTCATTATTCTTTATCAAATATCTATTGCAGATATATATAATTTTAACATTATTGGAATATCTAAACTTGTCACAACATAGTGATACATAATAATAAAATGTGCATTTATTATTCATTGCTTTACATTAAAAACTTCTGCAACTTCTAGTATAATTTTGGCATGTAAAAAGGTTTCACTATTATTTTATTCAATCATTAATACTTAGAAACATGTAAAAAAAAGTGTTGTGGAAAACAAAGAATAACTCATGATCTCATTATTCCCAATAATTTTTAAGAATTCCAATTTCTTGTTCCCAAATACTAAAGGTTAATATTAGTTGGAAATTAGAAACACTAGGCCTGTAGCAGTTCTAGAATTTTGTTTGTGACCTTGTCATGTTCTTTAAGGTAAAACATAACTCAAAGCCGTTGCTAGTCAAACAAGGCCAGAGGCTGCTGTGCACAGTGACCATAGGTGATTCTTTCTGCTCTCTAGTTGTAAGGCTGTGAGTGTACAAGTTGGTTTCCAGTTTAATTCTGCTTTAAGATATTTCCTTCAGTTACCTTTGTGTGGGACCCCTCTTTACTTCAGTCATGTATTTCTTTATTATTGGTGTACTGTTTGATGTGACCTGTGAAAATATTTCAATCTAATGATAGCCATGACTATCTATTGGGTTTTCTGTTTACAGACAAGCAAACAATGTAAGGTTGTAATCCAAAATCGCATGACATTTATGTAAATGTATACTAAGTTCATATTATTATTCATACAGGCTTGAGTCCCACTTCACACAGAAAATAATTATGAGGGGTTGAAAATCTCTCACTAAGGTTTCTAGATCTACTATTTTAAAGAACTGATTGCAAAATTGCCTATTTCATTAAATGAAAGTGATTTACTATCATCTTGGAAATTTTAAAGCTCCCAAAATGTGTACTTCAATCAGACAGGGCACTGGAGTAACCATTTTATAATAGACCATTTGATAGTACATTTATAATTCTTAATTTAATATTTTTTTAACTGCAAAATTTGGCTAGTTTGTCTAGTTTACTTCAAAGAATCAATCTCCAATTGAACTCTTTTTACTTGCATCACAAAATATTAAATAATATCTCTAGGACAATTTTAATAATGATCTAATGACTTTATGGGAGACTTAAACCTACTTAATAATTTTGAGAAAATTGCACAAGACAATGTATCTGCTTTATATTTCTCATTATACTTTCTCCTATACCAAAATATGTGTTTGGATTTGAATTAAGATAATGCATATTAAAGTTCTTTATAATCCACAAAGTTTACATCACAACAAATGTACCATGATTGCTTTTTCAAGTTGGAATGTGTTCCCCTTGTGTTATGATTGGGATTTACTGGCATTTCAACTTGAAAAATCTGATATTTCACTCTATTCCTGGCTCACACCTTCCACTCCTCATCTCACCCCACTGCCCCAAAAAGCAGTTACATTGCTTTTTGGGGCACAAATAGTTATATTGTGTTGTTTAGCTTATCAGTTTTAAACTTAATATTCAGGACATTTTCTAGACAAAAAAATGCCCATTCCAAAATGGGCCTGTCTTTGGAAAGGCGCACTCCAAAATGCAGAGAATTGAGCATGGTAAGGAAATCTGGAGACCAGTGCAATTCTGGATTCTACCATGCTTTACCTCTTAATGGGTGTATGTTACTTTGTCTACGCAAGAAGACAGAGAAAAGATCTGTCAGATATTACTACACAAGAAGCAACGCCAATATAAGTGGACTTAAAGTAATTCCAAGTTAAGGAATGCCTACATTGCTTCGATAAGTATATTCCAAATCAATATTTAAATTTAAATCTAATAATTCAAAGCATACTTCTAAATAGAAAAAGTATCACTGAGTAATTTATACAATAAATGTGAAATACATCTTATATCCAAGCAAACTATGGTTTTCTATGACCCAGTTGTGATAATCCAATTACTACAGGATTAAATCACACAGCTCTTACCATTATGTCTGTAATACTGCTCACATCAATGCAGGGCTAGTCTTAGGTCAAACCATCATGTATTAAGTCAGCTATCATCTTCCTACAAACTCAAAATACCCACCCCATGTAATCTTTTCCATGAACGTGCCCTCTGTATTTCAAAGCCGTTCCTCAGTTACCTTAGATTTGTAGATATAGTTGGGATACCGGTATAGATGCATTTAGGTTCCAATAAGGAGTCATCTAGCCGATGGCAGAGAACTATTCAAACCCTCACAAAAAAGTTTCTCCAAACCAGGACTTGGCAAGCTACGTCCTGAGGGTCAAATTTAGCCTACCATCTATTTTTGTAAATAACGTTTTTTTTTTTTTTTGTAATATAGGTATGTTCACTTATTTACATATTGTCGATGGCTGCTTTAGAGATAATATGACCTGCAAAGCCTAAAATCTTTATTCTCTAGTCCTTTACAAAGAAGTTTTCAGATACTTATCTAAACCTATGTTTTCAAATGTTAGTGGACATCAGAATAAGATGAAGGGCTTAATAAAAGCAATTGGCATGTCCCAGTCACACAGCTTCTGATTAAGTAGATCTTGATCTAGGTTTAAGAAGTTACAGAGCTAACAAGTTTCCCGGTGGAGCTGATGCTGTTGATCAGGGGACTGCGCTCTGAAAATAAGTGCTCTAAACTGCGGAGGTACTCTAGTGTTGTTAAGAAGCTTTCGCGGTGGTGTCTGCTATACAAGCCAGTAGGAAATTAGCTTTAAGAAGCAGATGGACATGTTCTTGCTCTGGGCAGCATTTTCTCTGCATTCAAGCATGAGTAAATAGCAATACTAAGAGAAACCTGAAACGCAAATTTTAAGAATTAAATGTTCTCCATTCAATGAATCTTTAGTCTTTTAAACTCATACTTAATTTACAATAAATGCAATATCTTACACTGTATAAATTTTAGAATTTATAACATGATTATACATGTTTTAGTACTAAAACCCTTCAAGGTATGTCTGCATCTATTTAATGATGGGAAAAATGAAGAAAATACAATTTGCCATACTGAAGTTAAATGACTTTCCTAGTTATTTAACTGAGGACTTTAATTTGCATCTTTTGACTTTTAGTCCAGCACTCTTTTTAAATAAGATTGTTCTTCCTCTCAAAACAAGTGCCTTTATTTTTAAAACCAGACTTACAAATATATAGGTGTTGCACTTTTCTTAAAAATTACTACATGTGCGTTAAGATAGAGCTGGGCATTCCAACTTTAAGTGCTGAAGATATTAATATGCAACAAATATGAGTCTGGAACAAACTACTGCTCATGCAGAAAAAGAAAGGAAGTCAAAATTTGAGTTTGTGGTGGTTGTGGTCAATGAAAATGTGGTTTCCTATACTATGATATACAGTTGTGACCAATGGTTTATCATTACGATAGAAGCATCCTTTTGCTGGATATTCACCAAGAGTCATTAGGCAAAAGCAATTGTGGAAGTAGTGGTAAGATGCTCACCTTGGTTAATGATTTGGAAAAAAAGCTCTAGAGATTTAAAAGTGGGTGCAGTATATCCGTTTCTTTTATTGACTTTGATGCACTATTGGAAATTGAAACCACTTCAAATGAAGAAAACCAGTCTATTAAAGCATAATGGGGGAAAAAAAGGCTTGGGTGAGATTAATATTTAAAGTATTCACAGCTCATAAGTAGTTTAAAATATAACAGTAGTAGATGGCTCTCAGCATCTTTCTTTAGTTTATTTTTTAGGTTACAAATGTTGGCCTTCATGACGTTATCTTAAGGTAATAAGTGTGGAATAAAATTATATTATGGATTCTCCCATTAATATGTTTTGATTCTTACAGATTTGTTGAGATCATCATTAATAGTAGAGACTTTTGCCTTGTGATAGCTTTCGAGGAAGAATAAAGATAAGAGAAAATTGTATAATTTTTCTAAGCTTTACTTTGTAATGAAGTGAATAATTATAATAAACAACTCGGGAATAAATTATATTTATATTTTGAATTCTTACATATATATGTATTAGTTTTAGAAAAATACAAATTAAGGGATTTTTTTGTTAGATTTATTTGTTCCTGTTAGTACTTTTTATTTGCTTTAAGTACATGATAAAATTATACATTATTATAATAATTTATTTAATATTGGAATACGAGTAAGGCCACAGGATCAAACGGAAAATATCTTAAACAAGAAATCAGAAAGCCTGGGCTCTCCTGGTTTTTCTGTTGTCTGAAAATGTAACCTTAGATATTATTTGATATCTGTAGTTTCCTTTCTGAAACAAAATTCTGTGATTATGTGATATGCTTCTATAAGCAAGTTAATTCTTTATGTGGTGAAATTAAATCTGCAGCAATTTTTGAGGGTTATCTTGTGGTTTATTGTTAATATAATGAGGTAACAGTTAACTTTCCACAGAGTAGCTCACAATTTTGCTACCAACTGCCTGAAGTTAACTTCATACTGTCAATGGGTAATCTTTATGCAGAATTAGAACTGTGAACCTGATGTCGCAGAAGGATCAATATACCAAGATATGCTTAAATATGCATAAAGGTACATTCCAAAGATGCCATGTCATTAGGATAATGGAGACCATCAACAGTTACTTCGTGACCTCCATGATTCTAAAATTTACCATGGAACATTCGGAAATACATGACCTTTCAATCCTTCCTTAGGTTCCTTCTGCAGGTAACGGGTGGCCTTAGGCCTAGAGGCAATCAATTTTGAAGCCTGAACTGCAACTACATAAATATAGCTGTTAATGAAATATGTCATTACTTTTCTCTTCTAAAACCTAGAAACAAATTATTTTGTTTTGGCTCTTAAATATTGATCACTGTTGAAAAAATTACTAATATATTAATTTTTAAGTTCGTGTCATAAAGTATAGAAAATTATTTCTTATTTTTCTTCATTATTTTTACTTTATTTATATATTCCCTAAAAACTAATTAGAAAACATGCTTTGGTTTTGTTTTAGGCCTCAAATATACTCAAAGGTAGGCTGCTTGTATTCCTTGAAATATTCTATCTAGCTTTGTGAAATCTTATATAAATATTAAAAGCCTCTGTATCATAATGTCCACTTACAATGTGTCGTAACCTTAAGGAATTCACTTTTGTCCTATTCCTCTTGGGCTGCATATTTCTACTTCTGCCTCTTGTGGCTGTGTCTTCTCTGTGTTGCCCTGGCGCTAATGTGAGTCTGGGATGCCGTTCCTTTTACATCCCAGAGTAATCATAAGCACAGGCTAATGCATATAGCAGAATTTTAATAAAGGCTTGACAGTAGACAGAAGGATTTCCTTCAGCAAAATAATTCCTAAATAAAATACTGGACAGCCCCATATCTTTTGTAAACTGCGTACCAGTGATCACATCTGATGGACCTGCCCCTCTTCTTCACATTCTCTCTCTTTTCCCTCTTCCCAGACCTCTCCATTATTCTTGGACCTTTCTCACATTACTGCAGATGGTCAAGATTTATGTTAAGGATTGACAGAGAGAAAAGAAATAATGAAAACGGCTTCGGCACTTTATCAATCAGGCTTTATGAAGAACTGCAACATCATTCAGGAAACTGGCAGCTCAATTGGGCAAACTCTCAGGACTGGGCCTCCACTGAGCCCTACTCTGGGGAGGTGAACATACCAGCCACTCACCTACTCCGGATAGTTCCTTCTCCATGGCCCGGTTCAGCTCCTACTCTGCTACCAGCTGCTCTCTCCATTTTCTTTCCTAGCTCTTGACTTCTACCTCACGGCTTCTTCTTCCTCACTTCTCTAAACAGAGTTTTCTTTTTAAAATTTCTACTCCCTCTCTGTGAATCTCAGTTTTATACTCCCATGAAAGAAAGGTCTGATTAACTCAATCATTTACAATGATGTATACTAGAATTTTTTTTTTTTTTTTTTTTTTTTGAGACGGAGTCTAGCTCAGCCGCCCAGGCTGGAGTGCAGTGGCGCGATCTCGGCTCACGGCAAGCTCCGCCTCCCTGGTTCACGCCAGCCATTCTCCTCCTCAGCCTCTGGAGTAGCTGGGACTACAGGCGCCCGCCACTACGCCTGGCTAATTTTTTTGTATTTTCAGTAGAGACAGGGTTTCACCGTGTTAGCCAGGATGGTCTCTACTGATCTCGTGATCCGCCCATCTCGGCTTCCCAAAGTGCTGGGATTACAGGCGTGAGCCACCGCGCCCGGCCAGTAGAATTTTTTTTTTTTTTTTGTGGTTACTTGATATGCTTTTTTCTCCCTCATGTCTGGCATTTGGGCTGCATTTGGATGAGATCTGATACTAGGCCCATTCAGTGACATAGCCACATGATACAAAATGTTACAGTTTGTGCAAATGCCTTTGGATGTTTGGCTAAAGGGGCAGTAACTGAGATGTTACTCAACACTTTATGGCTCTTTTTCCACTGGAGGGTGTTATTGGATTTCAATCGTATGTCAGCTTAACAAACATAGATTTAGACTCTTCACTCTAAAATCGCTAATACTTAGAAGAAATTATACATTCATAGGATGTGATCCTTTTTCATTTTTGAGGAGATAATTTAAAAATTTTATGATTTTTCAAGTAGCAGCATAAGAGATTTTTATACAAATTTACTAACTGTATAATTTGCTATATTTCAGCTTACAGTTACTTATTCCTTCCTTAATATCATTTTCAAAGGCATTGTTTTAGAGTTGTCTTTAGGAAAATAGTTTGTTGTATACAGTGGTCTTAGAAAGAAAAAATGAACTAAGATTTTAAGACAATGATTTAACTAGCAAAGTCTCATAAATAAAAATATTGATCCTCACATTTAGAATAAGTAGTAAGAAAAATTAAGGGATGAATGATATGTATGTGTATTATAATGCCTATAAGTCTCAAAATAGAGCTTTTAGAAAAATTTGTATGAAAATGCAGTAAGTGTAAATATATCACTATAAACCTCTGAGTAAACCAAACAATGGACAATAAATCAATTAGATGACGATGTAACTAAACCAAAAAGGGTTATAGTTAAAAAGTAAAAAAAGAAAAAAACCTATTTGTTAGAAACCATGCCTAATTTGAAAATATTGATGATTCACTGATAACAAAACATCTTTGCAGAGAATTACAGGAATCCCAGAGCCATCTATACATGCAAATTCACAGCATGAGCTTTGCAGTTTTGCCATGTGCTGTAGGCAGCTACACTTAGTAGAATTCAGAATTAACTTCCCAGAAGACTCCATAATTAGACTATTTTTACTTATCAGTACCAAATTTTTATAATTTTGGAGTAATTTATCTAGTAGGTTAGTAGGAAGTAGACTTGAGTCATATTTAGGAATGAAAAGCGAAGGCCCACAAATTGAAGAAATTCTTGCATTTTCCTGTGAACATGGAGTCCACGAATAGGATCCTCATGGCTCAGCAATGAACAGCAGGCTTGAGACTTTCATCTCTAGGTAAACTTTATTAGATCAAGAATGCCTCCCTACAGGACTTCTAATTATGTAGACACGTAGTTTTTTGAAATTGAATATGTTAAGGAATAAACATAGAGAGATTTCTATTTAACATCAAGCTTATATAATCATTTTCAAAAAATTTTTTTACATTTTTAAAATTTATGTTTTTTTCATTGCTTTAACAGTCCTATAAAAAATGTGAGTTTTTTTTTTCAGCTGTAAAGAACATAGTTTACACAATAAAGTGTATTTTTTGTTTCTCTTCTGACTCCCCCTTCCCATTTGGAAAACCAGGCAAGAAATATAACCCTAAGAATTTAATTGATAAAAACCCATGCCATAAATCATTTTAGCAAAAAGATAGAGATGATTTGATACTAAGACCAAAACTAAAAGGCTGGTAAAGCATATTTTTTAAAGATCACTTACAAAAGAAAAGGAAATAAATTCACTTGGGAATGTGGTTCAAAAATGTTGCCAACTGCCTCTGGTGATCTTTTACCAAATTCCTCCTATACTATGAAAAAATCACTTGCAATTGATCATGGTCAGTTGTTTAGAAATGTTCCCTTGATTCCTGAGTTATCCTTGGAAACTTAGTCTTGAACAGATTGCTTGCTCTACTGACCAGACTTTATGCTTTTAATGTTATATTTAATCCAAAAGAAGTACCTTTTACCCTCATTTACCTCCTTGTAATACAGCTTTTCATCAGCCAGCATGAAAGGTATTTTCCTGGTCCTTCATTTGAACGTGGGTTTAGTATCAGAAGGGAAAAGTACTTTGTGTTTTTCATAATGTGCACCTCATTTGTCACACGTAGAGATGATAATTCACTGTTTATTTCTCCAATTGGGGACTTTAAAAGTCAGGATTATGCTTTGTCTCCTTATTCCTTTGTTTCCTGGAATTCTTAAGCACCTCTAGAAGAAAATTGGGTCGCTTGTTAGATTGAGTTGAAGAGCCTTAGGGATCCATTTTTCAAGGAAGTCTATTGGGTCTGCCTCTTCCACCCCTTCAGGCAGTCCAGTAATTCTGACAGTCTAGTTTAAGGCAGTTTCTTAAAACTATTCTCTCTCTCGTAGCACTGTATATCTCTCATTTCAAACTACTGCTTTACCATTAGATTAAATTTAACTGTCTGGGAGCACTATTTGGTGTTCTACATTTCTTGCTTTAAAATCAAGGTTTACTGCTTCCTAATTTTAATTTTAAAAGGAAAAGGAAATGAAACAAACATCAAAATAAAAACCAGCGTAATGTCACAGATCTCATAGGCAATATATTTTTATTATCTCCAAAGATTTCGTCTTTTCTAGAGAAGCTTCCTTGAAAATATTTGACAACGGAGCATTTCTGTCCTTGCCCCTTACACTTGCCTCCTACAGTTTGGAATTATTCATTTACCAAATATTTCCCTTAAATATTGGTATTCATAAACATTTTTTTTCTACAGAATAAATTATACATTATTCATTTGGCCTTTGAGCCTTTCAAGCTCCATATTCAGTAGAAATACTTGGGGTAGCATTAATGTGCTGTAATAGATACGTCTTTTGGCTGGCTCCACCTCTTCTCCTCTTTCACCTCCATTTGCAATTTTTGGATAGATGGTCATAAAGGTCAATTTTCCCAACCATAAGAATCTTTGCTTTATTACATTTTCTTAAAGAATGTATTATCATGATATATTTTTACTTATATGGATTTTTTGCATTAATTAATCTACTTCAAAATAAGGTTATTTTACCTGACAATATAAATGTGCTTTAATTACCTGAACAAAACTATAGTCAGATCTGTGAATCACTATGGATTAAAACATCATTTCACAGCCAAACAGAAACATGTTCCCAATCACTGCTCTTGATTTATTGTTATGTAGCTTGAGGCTTGTATTAAAATCACTGAATAATTGCAATCAGATTATTATAATCAAGTACAGGAACAGTAATTACAGGTTACAGTCACTTTAAGCTGCCCTGGAAGTCCTATATCCTGATCATATGCATATTAAAAGTTTATGTTAGTGATAAAATTAATGAACAGGATTGTAAGCACTTGTCTGTAGGAAAGATGTCACATATCTTACTGTATAGGGAGTTATGCTTTCACATCAAGGACAACGGTGTGCCTACATTATTTTTTTTTCTTAGGTTAGATTATAGAGAAAATAAATCAAATCCAGTTTTCCCAATCTCAGAATGGTTGTTCTAGCATCCAACTTTAATAAATTTACCACATTTTCTTATGGTAATTATTATTTTGAACTCATTATTCATTTTATTGGTTTAAAAATACAACTATGTGAATATTTTATGTGGAAAGAAATTGTGTTACCAATGAACTATACATAATCCATTAAGTCATTAGGAAAAGGGAGAGTTGTTTCTTTCTTTCTTTTTTTTTTTTCAATTCCCTGAGATTAAAACCAGGAAAGAGGAAAAAGAAGAAAAACAATCTTTTTAAAATCAGGTTATCTTGTTTTGAAGAGACATAAAATGAAAAGGTATTCTGTATTTGCTGAAGTAGAGTATTACAGACAGTATATTCTGATGAAAAGACCAACCCTATTTTAACTTTAATAACCTTGTTCTTTGATTCAAACAATGAATATGGTATAAGAGATATGAACTGTATTTTGATAGTTGGGTTCTAAAATTAGAACTTGAAACCAAAAGGAGCCATAGAGCCCTAGGGGTCCAATCACATAAATGCCTCCTGCACACATGTGCCAGCCACTGAATCATTTTATTACACTTTCTGATTCACAGCGGAAATGGGGACAAGAGTATACATACGACCACAGAATGTAAGCAGAAAATACAGAGTATGTGATTGGGCAGGGAAGTCAGAGGGGAAAGACATGAAAAGGGTTAATGTGTAAGGTGACTTCCAAGGAATTTCACTCTGGTTCTTTATCCAGATGTATTGCTGAGGATAACTGTACAACACCAAATGAGAATAAATAGGAAATGACATTTTTTATGGGCAAGTTATTCCCACAGACAAGGAGAAGAATCCTGTGCCAGGTTCACAGACTTTCTACACTCTGACAGACAACATAAGCCAGATAAAAGGCCAACCAAATACCCAGATGCTGTTGCTGGAAAATTACATACTGGAACTCAGCATCTGGGTTTCACAGCTGCCAAGTTCACCCCATGGGTGCCCATGGTGCTTGGCTCAGCTACTGGGCCAGACAGGATGGGGGTGGACATCATGGAACAAGCAGATCACCACAATGAACAAGATAGAAAGCCAAGTACATAATAAAATAGCATGAACCTGCCAATATGGTTTCAAATGCATAAAACCACACTTTTGTGTTCCAAACATAATGCTGAGTACAAGTTTTTCCTCTTTGGGGTACAGATGATTTAAGGGCCATTAATGGTAAGCCTGTGGTTACACTCTCTTACCACGTGAAAGATGTCAGTCATAAAAGAAATTATAATTAGACAATGGATTGCAATGCCCTTCCTTTACATCCAGTTAAAAATACCTAGGAGGATAGCTAACCAGAATGTGGAGAAGCATTTGGTATAAGAAGCCTATATCAACAGGGTAAAAATGCACTAAGTCAATATATAAAACAGCATGAAAAATCCAAGATGGCAACAGGGTAATGAAGTGAGTATTACAGCCTCCTCTGGTTTCACCTCAGGATCGTAAAACCCTTTCGATTTATAGCAAACATGCATTTCACTGTAGATTAAGGAATCTGCAGTAATATAGAGACATGATGAGAGAATATGATGAGAATCTTCTTCTCAGGCTTATGAAGCTTGCTATGTAGATTTTAATTAACAATCAAAGAATGTAAATAAGTGAATTTTTTTCCAGTCAATATATTTGTTTTCATTATATATTCTTTTTTCTTCTCTGATTTAGTGTTTTGTTTTCTACCTTCAGAAATATCTTGGAAATATTTTATATGTTTATTTATTTTAAGACTACCTTTGGCCAAAAAAATCTATTTTGATTCAGTTACAGCTCAGTAGGTAGGCTAGGACATCATGTTATCACATTTGTATTTTTAAATATTCTATTTTTAGGGAACTAAGCTATTATAAGTCAAAAATATGGAGCAATAAATGAGAAGTAATAGTGTATTTGCTTCTATATCTAATGCAGAAAAGGTTTTCATTAAACTTCTAATCATAATGGTAATTTTTGCATATTATTTGTTATTTGTGATTTTCTGAAATATTTTCCTAAAATAATTATGTGCCTTTCCACTTCTACTTATTTTAAGGCATTACATATAAATAATTGCTTTTAAACAGATTCATGTCTCTGATTTTTTAAAAAACTTTAAAAAACATTTGTTTGATTATGTGTAAAGAGAGGAACGTAAACATATATTATGTAAAAGGTATGTTTATCTGTCCAATATTATTCAGTAACTATGTCTTTCCATAACACCAGGAATTCAAAATATAATTTAAACAATATTGGCAAATTAAAACTCTTCTTATTTGATCCCATGGCTATCATACTGCTTTGTAAGGGCTAGCTTAGGCCAATGGTACTCTACAAGGGAAATGATTACATATTTAATTGTCCATTGTATTTCGACTGCTTAGCACCAAGCCACTGAGACTGACACACAGGATGAGCTCTTTAATTTTGGATGAAAGAATAAATATATCAGTGAATCTTTTAAGGATAAGCAGAATTACTTGTATCGATTTTTATGACATCTTATAGACCTCTTTGTATCTATTATTATCTATTAAAAACATGTGTTCCCCAAAAGCAGCAGCTCTCAAACATTTCCATTTTAGGGACTTGTCTATATTCTTTAAAAATATGGAGACTTGCAAAGAGCTTTTGCTTAGGTGAGTCATGTCTACTATTGGGGACATATCTCAAAATAATAAGAGCTATTTATGACAAACCCACAGCCAATATCATACTGAATGGGCAAAAACTGGAAGCATTCCTTTTGAAAACTGACACAAGACAGGGATGCCCTCTCTCACCACTCCTATTCAACATAGTGTTGGAAGTTCTAGCCAGGGCAGTCAGGCAGGAGAAGGAAATAAAGGGTATTCAATTAGGAAAAGAGGAAGTCAAGTTGTCCCTGTTTGCAGATGACATGATTGTATATCTAGAAAACCCCATTGTCTCAGCCCAAAATCTCCTTAAGCTGATAAGCAACTTCAGCAAAGTCTCAGGATACCAAATCAATGTGCAAAAATCACAAGCATTCTTATACACCAATAACAGACAAACAGAGCCAAATCATGAGTGAACTCCCATTCACAATTGCTTCAAAGAGAATAAAATACCTAGGAATCCAATTTACAAGGGATGTGAAGGACCTCTTCAAGGAGAACTACAAACCACTGCTCAACAAAATAAAAGAGGACACAAACAAATGGAAGAACATTCCATGCTCATGGGTAGAAAGAATCAATATCATGAAAATGGCCATACTGCCCAAGGTAATTTATAGATTCAGTGCCATCTCCATCAAGCTACCAACGACTTTCTTCACAGAATTGGAAAAAACTACTTTAAAGTTCATATGGAACCAAAAAAGAGCCCGCATCACCAAGTCAAACCTAAGCCAAAAGAACAAAGCTGGAGGCATCACGCTACCTGACTTCAAACTACAATACAAGGCTACGGTAACCAAAACAGCATGGTACTGGTACCAAAGCAGAGATATAGACCAATGGAACAAAACAGAGCCCTCAGAAATAATGCCACACATCTACAACTATCTGATCTTTGACAAACCTGAGAAAAACAAGAAATGGGGAAAGGATTCCCTATTTAACAAATGGCGCTGGGAAAACTGGCTAGCCATATGTAGAGAGCTGAAACTGGATGCCTTCCTTACACCTTATACAAAAATTAATTCAAGATGGATTAAAGAGTTAAATGTTAGACCTAAAACCATAAAAACCCTAGAAGAAAACCTAGGCAATACCATTCAGGACATAGGCATGGGCAAATACTTCATGTCTAAAACACCAAAGCAATGGCAACAAAAGCCAAAATTGACAAATGGGATCTAATTAAACTAAAGAGCTTCTGCACAGCAAAGGAAAACTACCATCAGAGTGAACAAGCAACCTACAGAATGGGAGAAAAGTTTTGCAATCTACTCCTCTGACAAAGTGCTAATATCCAGAATCTACAAAGAACTCAAACAAATTTACAAGAAAAAAACAAACAACCCCATCAAAAAGTGGGCGAAGGAGATGAATAGACACTTCTCAAAAGAAGACATTTATGCAGCCAAAAGACACATGAAAATATGCTCATCATCACTGGCCATCAGAGAAATGCAAATCAAAACCACAATGAGATACCATCTCACACCAGTTAGAATGGCGATCATTAAAAAGTCAGGAAACAACAGGTGCTGGAGAGGATGTGGAGAAACAGGAACACTTTTACACTGTTGGTGGGACTGTAAACTAGTTCAACCATTGTGGAAGTAAGTGTGGTGATTCCTCAGGGATCTAGAACCAGAAATACCATTTGACCCAGCCATCCCATTACTGGATATATACCCAAAGGATTATAAATCATGCTGCCATAAAGACAAACGCACACGTATGTTTATTGTGGCACTATTCACAATAGCAAAGACTTGGAACCAACCCAAATGCCAACAATGATAGACTGGATTAAGAAAATGTGGCACATATACACCATGGAATGCTATGCAGCCATAAAAAAGGATGAGTTCATGTCCTTTGTAGGGACATGGATGAAACTGGAAACCATTATTCTCAGCAAACTATCACAAGGACAAAAATCCAAACACCACATGTTCTCACTCATAGGTGGGAACTGAACAAGGAGAACACTTGGACACAGGAAGGGGAACATCACACACCAGGGCCTGTTGTGGAGTGGGGGTAGCGGGGAGGTATAGCATTAGGAGATATACCTAATGTAAATGACGAGTTAATGGGTGCAGCACACCAACATGGCACATGTATACATATGTAACAAACCTGCACATTGTGCACATGTACCCTAAAACTTAAAGTATCATAAAAAAATAAAAAAGAAATTAAAACTGAACTGTTTTGAAAATATTTATTAATTTATCTTAAAACAAAAAGAAATCCATTAAAACTTAGCAAAATAAGTTTATACAAATATTTATATTTTCCAAAACAAAAAAATTGAGAAGAGTAGCATCACTTTATATTATTACAAATCTTTTTTATGTCTGGATTATAGAGGATAGTTAAATTCTTAATCTGCTTCAGCATTTAATCTGTTGCAATATGTTACTTTGGATAAAGCATAAGAAAACAACCTGGCCTTACATGGATATATAGTTGGAAGAGGGCAGACCTTGTGAATCTCTAAAAAGGGTATGAAAAATTCTATAGTTCCCCAAACCACACTTTGAAAATCACTGCCTTAGAAAATGTCTTTTCAAATCTCTCACTTAAATTTTCTCAGCAACATTTCATTTAGTATTAACTGAATCAAATATGTAACTAACCTGCACAATGTGCACATGTACCCTAAAACTTAAAGTATAATAATAAAAGAAAAAAAAAGAACTGAAAAGTTATTTTGTAAGAGTTATAAAGAATTAATTATTTTTGATATAAACTTACAGCCACAATGATAAATGAGTGCTGTAAAACTCTGAGATGTCTTTGAATAATTATGTAGGCAAGTATTAAAACAGTTTGTGTTAATGATTGGCAGATATTCTAGGTCTTTGGAGAACCAACCGTAATCTAGTGCCTTCTTTACTGATATTGTGGGTGTGTGTGTTTTGTGGCAACTTTTGAGGATGTATTAGTGGAAATATTTTCTCCTTAGTTTTAGCAGTATCACTAAGCACTTTTAATTTAAATGGTCTCATAGTTTTTCTGTCCAGGGAAATGCACAAAGAAGTTGAGTAAGCAGGCTAAAGATGTTAAAACAATTGACACACATTTATATATATATATATATATATATATATATATATATATATAAATATTTATGAAATTTAAAAAATGGACTGTGATTTCTTTTATCATAAACATTTATTTTTAGGAATTTACTATATGTTTTAATTATATGTATATTTTGTCAAATATAAATATAGAACCAACATCAATTTATAATCAACTATGCATAATTTCATATTAGTTCATTTAAAAATTGATTGAACATGTCTTAGGTATCAGACACTATAATAGGTTCTGAGAATAAAATAACAAAAAAGACAAACTACCAGGATTTATGAGGATTATATTCTAATGGAAGGAAATAAATAATAAATAAATAATGAAATGCCACCAAAAGTAAATACCATTTAATACTCATTTGTTTGGCAAATGTTAAGAAGTCTTACGGAAATATTAGAGATGATAGGCCAACAAGATATCTTGAATATGGCTGGGAGAAGTGAAAGTTGTATGACCATTTGTTTTTGACTTGTAATTTGAACATAACCTGTAACCCAGCATTTCTATTCATAGGTACATAACTCAAGAGAAACCTTTGCACATTTGCACCAGGAAATGTGTACAAAAGTAGACACGACACCACTGCTAATAGTAGAAGATTGGAACCTACTATAGGTAGCAAATAGTAAAAACGAACTTGGGATATTGACCCTATGGGATATTATGCAGTGCAGGAAGCAAATAACTACAACAATAACATGCAACAACATGGATAGATTGGACTTGAGCACAAGAAGTGGGCCTCAGAATATGTCATTCATCATAAAGACTTGTTATAAAGTTAAAAAATAATTTAAAAATCATTGAGCATGTGCATGTGTGTGTGTGTTCAAACAGAAGATAATATACACAGAGTTTAGAATGGTGTTTAGCTGTCTCTGAGGAAAGCAAGAGGATAGAAAGAGAAAGAACACATTAGTGGAGCTTATTTTTATTGTTTTAGATGTAAGGGTTGGATATTGCATTTAGGGGTGTTGATTATGTCTTGATCAAATAATTGAATTAATGCATGAAAATGAGGATCATGCAAGGACCGAAGACGGTAGTATGTTAAGAACCAAGGATTATGATAAATCTAATTCCATGTTCCTGAGATGTATGTGTATGCGTGTGTATGTGTGTGTGTATGCACACGTGTTTTTCAAGGAGTTGTAAGAATGACGTGTCACAAAGAAAAATAAAACAGGATGTAGAGATAGAAATGTGTTGGGTATTCTTTCTTACTGGGTATTTATATGTGAACTTTTGTATATATAAATTCATGCAATTTATATGGTGTGATGGCTCTGTCATGTGTCATTATTCTCATGTTATTGAATAACCAGCATTATGCTGAGTTCCATGCGGCCATATTGGCCAGTATAGTATGGTAAAGTGACAATTATGAACTTAGCCATCAGACAAGTGTGGCACAAAAGTGAGTTATACTATGTGCTATCTGGGTAGCAAAAGCCAAAAGTCTTCTACTGGATTGTGTTCCTGTGCAATATTGTACGTTTATTTTTAAGGTCTTTGCAATGAACAACCCTCAGAAAATCATCCTGTCTCCTATAAGGATGTTATTGAGGCTGTTCTTATATTGTACAGTGTTTTCTTTGTGGGAATGCCAAGGAGAAAAACAAAATCCCCAATAATTTCAGGAACAGGAATAGTTCTATATTCCTGAGCAATTTGTGTTTATCTTAGTGATAAAGTGAACTATGCAACTAAGTTTTTCTTTGTTTGTTTAAGTGTCTTGTGTTAATTGTTAAAATGCACAGACCTACCGGTAGCAAATATGTATCATTGAATTAATTTTTATAGTAAGCATGTTTCCATCTCTCTATATATCTAGTCATATTTCTTTTTTGTCCTCAGTTTTAATGTATTCTGTTTTACTGTTTTCTCTTAAATCATCCTCATTTCTTAATTATAATAAATAAAAATACACGGAAAATAGTCAATAACTTTATTGGTTATTATATCTGGAGTAGAAACCGGTATTTTACACTTTGCTCCATCCAACATTGTACTAAAGAGTCTGTTGTTTTGTATGTGTTTATGTATATGTGTGTGGGTGTGCACCCCCCAAGAGGTGTAATTCAGCTAATCAATTAAGGCAATTAAAATAGGTTAAACAAAAGCTCAGTGTGATGTGAAAATTTATTATTTGTTTAAGAGCATATTTGTTCAATATAGATTGTCAATCTGTATAGAAGAAAGACAAAATTAACTGTAAAAAAACCTTAGCTAACATATAAACTAAGGGACAGGAATAGTAGGCTTCCCAGCACTAAGAAACTAGTATAAAGGCTTAGGAGTTCCAACAATTTTCCCTAAACACAGATAAAAAACAGACTTCTTAGAGATAACAACAACATTTTTTTCATAAATCTGCAAATAATAATCATATTTATGTCCTTTTTCTGAAACAGTAAGATAATATTTTCCTGAACTTCACTAGAAAACACATTCTCAATCTCCAGCTTTTCTTTCACAAATGATAATAGCAATACTTTACATTTTAAGAACACCATTATTTTCCTTTATAGTGCTTTCTTCCAAAGAGCTCAAAGCATTGCAAAGTGCTCCTAAAAAAGTTATATTCATGTTTCCCTTCCTTTGATCCCTATGATGAAATGCAACCACCTCTATGGTGAAATACAGCCACTGCTTATGACAGTGAATAACAATTCCATACAATTCAGAAGAAATAACATACCCAATTAAAACTGTAAAGGGATCTCAGAAAGACAGACTTTAATTAGAGAAACTGGAATGTAGCCAAGCAAAAAAAGTAGCATGAAAAGTGGTCATGACCTCATTTTAACACTCTGCCTTATTCAGAAGACCACATCTAGAGTAGCCCATTGCATCAGGCTGACTTGGGCACTGATTGATTCAGCACCAAATAAATGGGAACAATGTCACATACTTAATCATCATCTGCATTTATCAAAGCAGTAGATTTTCCTTGGTGAACCTCCTCCATCAGTTAACGACCTTGTGTGTGTCCATTCATGGATCATGGAACACCACCAAGTCTACCATCACCTTTCATAACTACTTTTTAAAAATAATATGTGGTTATCAAGTACAAAACCACACAAATTTTTATATAACCTTGTAAGATCAAAGGCTAAAGTTATTTCAATATAAACATTAGGCATTCAAAGACAACCATCTTTAATTCTGAAAAACCTTTGCTAGAAATTTCAGAAGCTAAGTCTCACTAATTTCTCAATTCAGTCATCCAGACTCATTAATTTTATGTTTATAGTAGGTGGAGCAGCAGTGGATAAAGAGTAAAAATAATAACAAAACGAAAAAGAAAGATGGGCATCATATCGTCCCATTTCTTTTGAACATGATTCAATTATAATATTATTTTGGTTAGAGAATGTTTCCTGAGCTTCTTTTCCAAGTAATAAATATATAATAGAATCTAATATAAAGATAAAATTCTGTGTTACTGGATTTTTAATGCCATATGAGGTTTTTATGCCACTTTAATCCTGGAAATTGCTATGGAAGAATCAGTTTTTAAGTTTTCTTTCTTGCATGCTTCCATGACTTGGATCCTAAGGATGGAAGTATAGAAGACTTTTAGCATGTCATTGGAAGCAGTTCCAGTTACCCGTGATCTATTACCCTGGCCCCCAACAATTAGTTCTGAATTTCTGCATTCAGCAACTGCTCTCCTGCCACAAGGGAGAAGTGGGCTGGCGATATCAACGGTTTATGTTCATCTCTACCACCTGCATAAAACCTTTTGTTTAGATTACATAAATGTGGCCTGAGATTTATATTTAAATTTTATTTCTTAAGAAAAATCTTTGAAAGTACTTCCAGCTTATAAAGTCTGAAAGCAACTATACTGTCTTACATAACAGACTTCATTGAAAGTAAATTTTTTCCCTTTCTTTCTAGCATTCCTTTAAAAAAAATCTGTTAACAGCATTGGGTTCCTTGGGTTCAGGGGGTAATAGTCTGCACACTCCCACTCCCACCAAGAATTGTACATGTGACCCAGGATTGGCTAGTGTCAAGTTCTCTATTTCTCTTTGGACAAGCTATGGGGATGTGGTCTCAGGCTTGTCAGCAATCATGGCCTCTGCAACACAACAAGCCTTCAAAAGGTGAAAAGAGGTAAAGAGAAAGAGGGACATCATATGGACACTGTGGGGTCCCTGGATCTAGACTGCAGGGAAGCCTACTATACTCATATTTTTCCATGGTTGGTTGCCCAAGCCAACAGATACTTCTCTTTTGAAAATTGGAACTGGGTGCATGTCACATGAAGCCAAAGAGCATTGACCCAAATATTAATGGTCTATGTAGTATGGCTGGACCCTGTGTTAAGACTGAGTATACAGAGCTGTATGGTGTTGCTGTGCAATGTTGTTACTGCCTGATGGGATTAACACTTTCCCAAAGAAGGTAGCAGATGAACAAATAAATAAACACATATGTAGTTAATGATCAAATGAGACACGTAAAGAAGAAAATGAATCTGATGTTGGGATGAAAAACTAGGGGACACACTTTGAAAAAATGGTCAAGGAAGCTCTTACTAGGGGGAGGTTATGCAGACCTAGATCTAATAGACGTTACACAAAGTAATTTTAAAATTAATGTTTTTAATCAGATCCTTTCCAAGTGTATTTTTAGTCTTTTAAAATGTTTCTGCTTTTCCTGATTAGTAACAAAAATGATATCACTAATAATAAATAATATTCCGGTGAAGGAATATTTACTGAATATTCCTACCTTCCAGTCACCACTGGATAAATTTTATATATTTTATCCCATGTAACCTTCAAAATTCTATAAGGTTAGAATTATTATTATCATCATTTTACAGATGAGGAAACAGAAGCATGCAGATATTAACTACTAACTAGTAATCAGAAGATCCCAAAAAATCCAAACACAGAGTTTGTGCTCTTCACTACTATCTTATTAGAAGTGTAAATCATAGTTGCTGCTGAGTTTCATACATTATAAGTAGGCATTATATAGAAGAAGAACAGGGCCAGGCGCAGTGGCTCATGCCTGTAATCCCAGCACATTGGGAGGCCGAGGTGGGCAGATAATGAGGTCAAGAGATCGAGACCATCCTGGCCAACATGGTGAAACCCCGTCTCTACTAAAAATACAAAAATTAGCTGGGCGTGGTGGCACGCGCCTGTAATCCCAGCTACTCGGGAGGCTGAGGCAGGAGAGTTGCTTGAACCCAGGAGGCAGAGGTTGCAATGAGCCAAGATTGCACCACTATACTCCAGCCTGGTGACAGAGAGAGATTGCATCTCACAAAAGAAAGAAAGAAAGAAAAAGTCCCTCCTCCCTTAGATATCAACTCTTTCCATTGAGATAAACATTATTGAACATTTGGTGCATTCGTTATTTTCCTGTACATATAAAACCATGCTTTCTAATAACCTATGATATTATACACACCATAAATTTTGCAAGAAATGTTCATAATTTGCTTTCACCCAATGGATATTCTTGACATACATAGTTGCTTTTTGTGTTTAAAAAATCAATTTTATTCAACTTGAATGTTTTTTAAATAAATGTACACAGAATTGTATACAACAGGCCATCCATCATCCATTCTTTACTATTGGTTCTTATGCTTTAATTCTTGGTTTTGGAATTTTTCTACAGCCCTTTCTGCCTCCTAAATAATCCTTTCTTAGCCAGTTTTTGCCTATTGCCTAAACATCAGGAGGCAAGTTTACCCAAAAGTCACAAAACTTTGGAATTAGGTAAGCTTTTCAAGTTGAAAGACGGTCTTCCTCCTCTATTCCCAGTCTTTCCTGACCTTCCAGTTATTACACACATGGGAAGCAGATCTACCCTGTATGTTCTTAGATAGAATAAATGAATGAAGTGAACAGAAACCATAAATATTTACAGAGTTCCTACTGTGTGGCACACATACACACTGGACCCTGGAGCCTCCAGGGTAGATGAGGTCCGTGGGGTTTGAAGCCTCAAAAAACTCAACGTGAAGACAGAACGGAGCACCATCTTGCAATTTTTGTTGTTTTGTAAGTACAAGAGTATAATTACTAGAATTAAGAAAAAGAGGTATGAAGGGCAGTGTCACTATTCCTTCTTCCACCTTTATCATTTCAAGACTGGGTTTAAAACAGCTGGCAAAATATCTTTAAACAGTGGTTGAGGAAAATCTCAGTTTTTCTTAGCTACACTTAAATCCATAGAACACTACTTCCTTTGTTAGTAATGAGTTCAATTTAGGAGAAAAGTTGTCTCAGCTTTGGTGGCCAAACCATATGTTTTTGTAAGCTGGTTGGACTGCATGTCATTAAGTGTAAAAATCTATTGCAAAGCTCTCAAGGTTACATTAAGGCAATGCAGAGCCTTGGACTGCCAGGAAGAAAGACAATTCATAGAGGGCTTTTAGATGAGCACATTGTGCCAACCAAAGCAGAAGTCTTCAGTATCGTTTTCCCCACAACCTCAAATCATTATAGGCTTCAAGATTATATTTGTTACTCAGCTTGTGAGATGCAACCTGTAAGGTTAAAAAAAAAAAAACGTCGGTGATGACTTCCATCGCTCTCACTGTGACTATTTGAAATCTTCACAGGTATGAGGTCCTTTCTCAGATTATTTTTTCTCCCATGAACTCTCTGGAACCACTTATTTCATTTTTTAAAGGCAAGGTAACAAGGAACACATCACTTCATATCTATATTGTCACATGCAGCTTCTTTGATAAAACTACCACAAAAGGAAAAGTACCCCCACAAATGTATCCATGGTTTCAGAGGCATCTTATAGTACTTCAATGTTCCATGATATGAGCTGATTTTTCCACTTGGTCCTGACCTTCTTGCCATCTAAATACCTTTTTATCTATTTTAGTACTTTATTAAACTTTTATTATGTGCCCAGTAAGACTATGTATACTATTTCCTTTCAGCCTCACAGTGAGCATCAGGTAAGTATTATTATTATCTACCTTTTTTTCAGATGTGAAAAGAAAACAGCAGGACGACCTTAGCTGCAAGGACACATGGCTATCACATGGAGGATCAAGAACATAAGCCCAGAGTCCATACGTAATCCAATATGCCACCAAGTCCTTATTAAAAGTGTTACACAAAACTGCATCTAGCAAGGAAACATGTTACCTTCTGAACATGTCTATGGAGAAAAAATCTTTAAAAATATTTTACATATATATTCTTAGGAAAATAGTGGTTTACTGCTACTTACATACCCAACTAAATGAAACTAGAATTTTAAACACACAATTACTATCATCTGATCAAATACTCATCACTGAGGAGAGTAGAGAGTATTTCATCAGTATTTCAAAACTGATGTCTATCCATAGCTACTTCTCTGATCTTGGGCCTCAGTTCTTGCATGTGTAAAATAAAGGAGTGGGCAGGAATTTTGGTCACAAAAACTGTTTTTGAGTCTAAATACTAATTTTTAAGTCAGATTAAATTAATCTTATAGAACTTGACATTCTTACAGCCCTATTACTAAATCTGCAGGTAACAGCAGTGATAGAGTAATACTGTAAGGAATTAAGCTGAACCCACTCTTACATTCTATGGGTATGAGTTTATGGACCCATATTTAAGAGCGAGATTATTGTACTTATTAGAATTGGTTTCTATAGGTAAGTAAAATCAGGGAAATAGAGGTTGCCTCTATTCAAGAGAATAAGAAATAAGGAACCCAACCTGGGTTCCATTTCTTTTAGTTTACATTTTTTTCAGGTTTGTTTACTATGTGCCAAACACAACTTAAAATTAAAGTAATATTTTACAAGTTATTGCTCTAAAGCAAAGGAAGAAAAGGGTCTCTGCAGGGAAGTGTTTCCCTAGAGTCTTCCTAATACTGATTAACACTAGTTTTTGAAATGTTAATTAGTTTTGAGCTTAACAGCTAGTCATTGTCTAAAAGGGCATGGAGCAAAACTTTTCAAAGTGTGGACTAAGGAGTATTTAACTCCTTAATGCCAAGGACTGGCCATTTACTCCATTGCTGGCCACTGAACCATGAGAATGCCAGGTCTGATTAGCTGTGGTGATTAGCAGGCTGACATTAGGACTGGAATCACTTGTCATTTGCTTACATTGACAGACTACCTACAGAACTGTATAACTTTTATCAGTGCAATGCATTCCATTTAGTAGTATTATGGAAAGCATATTTTAAAAACTTTTATAGACTAAGTTTAATACAGTGTATACACTTTTTGAAATATTACCTAAAATTACTATATTGTAGTGATTGTCTTTGTCATTTAATTGGTATAATGGTAGAAAATAGAGCTTTTTGTTTCTTAGGCTGTATCTTAGAGACCATATTTATTACTTCTTCTAAATCTGTGCCATCTAAATTTCACATTTTCCTATTGTTCTCAGTAGAGTAGGACCCTTTTAAAAGAACATTCACTAAAAACTTCATAAAAGAGAATTCTTATGGGGAAATATGTCTTTATAGAAGAGGTACAATCTGATTAAGACAATGGAAATCAGAAAAGTAGTAAGAAACAATTGCTCTACTCAAAAATGTTTGTTTATAAAGCAAAAATTCTCGTACATCTAGGGGATCATATGTATGAATTCAGCATTATTTACACCATTTTGCTACTCAGAAACTGTTGAAACATTTGCCCAAAGTCTTAGAACTAGGTACCAGTCCGTATTTTTGAAAATGCTCTTTCTACTGCTACGATCTTCACTTTTTTGCCTTCCTTGGCAATTACTTAAGCACATATTGGTAGGTTTTTCTCCCTTAACATTTGTATATAATTCAATTTCTTTAACCATATTAGGGCCAAGAATCTAGTCTTAAACAAACTGAAAATTCTACATGAAATGCAGTAATCCTATTGTGGAAAATTCTATTTAAGTATCTATTTAAACTATAAAAAGACACTAAAATATAAAAATAAGCTATGTTAAAAAATTGTTTTACAGAGCTGAAAGACAAGCTCACAAGGAAAAATTTGATGAATATCTTAACTACAAAGGCACACAGTGTAATATAAGGACACAGGTAGTAAGAAATAAAGGAATGAGCAGAGTAGATGGTCTTCTAAAGGGGTTGATATTGGTGGACTATTTTGACTGCACCTCTAGCATTTGCTAAAAGATCTATGACTAGAAGAGAAAAAAACAGCAATAGTGCTGTGAAGGAAAAAATTGAAGCAGAACAGTAGTAGAATTGAAAAAAAAAGTCTTAGGGGTACTATAAAAATTTCTTCAAATTTGTTTTTATTTTATTTTATTTATTTATTTTGAGACAGGGTCTCACTGTCACCCATGCTGCAGTGCAATGGTGCGATCTCGGCTCACTGCAACCTCTGCCTCCAGGGCTCAAGTGATTCTCCAGCCTCAGCCTCCCAAGTGGCTGGGACCACAGGCATGCACCACCACACCCGAATAGTGTGTGTGTGTGTGTGTGTGTGTGTGTGTGTGTGTGTGTGTGTGTATTTACAGACGAGGTTTTGCCATGTTGCCCAAGCTGGTCTCGAACTCCTGAGCTCAAAGCAATCCCTCCGCCTCGGCCTCCCAAAGTACTGGGATTATAGGCATGAGCCACCGCACCCAGACAAATTTATTTCTAGCGTTAGCCTTTTTATATAAGTCTTCTTAAAAATGTTGGCTTTTCTTTCCAAATCACATTCAAGTAAATATTTACTTTTTCTATCACTGTCCTTGAGCTTTATTTGTCATTATTATTATTACTGTTTTCCAGATTGCTCAGCAATTTTAAAAATCTATTTGTGGTTCTTTCCTTTTGTCGATATTACTATGCATTATTCTTCACTATAGAATTCTCTCCTGGCATTTCAGCCTACTTGTATTGTTCAGTCTACCTGGATATTTTTAAACGTTCTTTTGACTTTGCAAAGGTTTTTAAAATAAAGTTATCACTATTAAACAAATATTTTAAATTACTTTCTTATCATTAAAGGGAGTTTTTTTTCTGATCAACCTTCTATTTACTATTACTGGAACTATTTTTATACAGTGAGGAGCTTTTGCTATTGGTGAGTGGAGTGTGAATATAGGCTCTGCCACTTATGCTCTTGAGACCTTAGGCAACTTATTTTACTTTCTGATCACCATCTATAAAACAAAGATACTAGCATAAATTCTAAAATTGAAAATGAGCAAAAAGCTCTGCATATGACAGCGTAAATAGATCATATTCTGTCTGCCTAGGATAAGGCTGCCCACTCTCTCCTAAGACAGTTACTTTCATTGTCCAGAAAGTCACCAATCTGTAGTTCAACCTACTTTTCTCAACATCTCCAAAGCAGATTAATAATTTCGGATTTACTTATGTTTAAAGTTCATGTGGCTATGAATAAAGCCTCATATTAATTAGTTAACAAAAAATAACTGACACAGGGAACCAGCATATTCTATGTTTAGATGTCTGCCCAGATAATTTCCCCTTATGGACAGATTTATGAGTCAATTCATCATAATATTACTTTGTGAATTTACAATGAAACTGACAGTCATATATCTGAAGCAAGGGGCCAGACAGTTCTTCCCCTACCTGCAGATAAAAAGTGAAGCAAAACAATCACTGGGAAATTATTTTGTGAATATGGAATCAAAGCAAGTGGGAATTAGATTGATTGAATGTTTTAACATCATCATGCTAGTAGAGCATGATAATGTATCCATCTCTCAATAGACATGAGTTTAATAATATTAGTAGCTAAGACTTATGGAATACTTCCTATGTGCCAACCACTGTTAAAGTACTTTATATGAATTAGTTCATCTAATCTTTATAAAAATCCTTGTAAGAAGTTCTATTATTATCTCTATAATGAAGAAACTAGCCCAGATGAGTTAATTAACTTGCTCAGGATCACAAAGCAAGGAAGTGGCAGAGGGAGAATAAATTTGCCTGGGGCCGATATTCTCAGTCTCGGTTGGCTAGACTGACCTTGTATCCTGGAAAATTTTGGGTGAGGGGAGCATTGCCAATCTGTGCTTATGATTCTCATTTTCAGCATTTCCCAAGGTATTGACTTCTTTTTAAAATAGTTATCTTTTCTTTAAATATGACTTATTTCATTTTTAGCCAATATTTATTGAGTGCCTACTGTGTGTCAAGATCTCTACTAGGTACTATGACTACAATGGATAACAAGAAAGATAAAAAGACCTGCTTTTGTGGAATTTGGAGTGTGTTCACTCTAAATGCTATATGAATGAATAGATGAAATTAATACAGAAGGTAATTGGTGGTGGTAAAAAATGAGGTACTAAGAGAATACATGTGGAAACCCATTTTCTATAATGTAGTCAAAGAAGATGACTAAGAAGGTGACATTTAAGCTCATATCTGAGGACAAAGAAAGCAACCATCAAAAAGCACTTCTGGCAAGAAAGAATAGTTAGTACAAACAGTAAGTGCAAAAGAAAAGAGCAAGGTAAAGAGTGGAATGCATTCTAGGTGTGTTAACCTATTCAAATGTCGCAGGACTGAGAACCACTCTCTTTTCTTGGCTTATTTGTACTCCAATTTCAATATTTTACTATCTGAGGGAAGTCATAAAAATTGTTTGCCAAAATGAGTAAAGTAAATATGTTGATTGAAAAAGACAAATCTAAAACATTAGGCTACAGAAGATAAGAAGCAAAATGGATGGAAAAAAGATATATCAAGCAAATAGCAACTAAAGGAGAGTGAAGATAGCTGTATGTTTAGTGGTGATTTGTGAGATTTTGGTATATCAATCAAAGGCCAAAACAAACTGAGGAAAAAATAAGCATTGGTGGTAAGGACAGCAATAATGCGCTGTCAAGACTTTTTTTTTGGGGGGGACGGAGTCTCGCTCTGTTGCCCAGGCTGCAGTGGTGGGATCTCGGCTCACTGCAAGCTTCACCTCCCGTGTTCACACCTTTCTCCTACCTCAGCATCCGGAGTAGCTGGGACTACAGGTGCCCACCACCACGCCTGGCTAATATTTTGTATTTTTAGTGGAGACGGGGTTTCACTGTGTTAGCCAGGATGGTCTTGATCTCCTGACCTCGTGATCCGCCTGCCTCGGCCTCCCAAAGTGCTGGGATTACAGGAGTGAGCCACTGCGCCTGGCCCAAAACTTTTAATTAACCAGGATGGTACAATAATTCTTAAACTAGGGTTAACCTAAAATTCAGATTCAAAATACATAAAGCAAAAATCAATAAAACTGTTGGGAAAAAACTGCTAAATCCAACGTGATAAAGAGGGATATTAACATATCTCTCTCAGTGATAGATTGAACAGGCAAACACTCAAACAGATCTAAAAGAAACAACACCATACAGATCAATGAACCTAAATATAATAACTTCTTGCAAGAGCAACAACTGGAGAATACACTTCCACCCCCAAGGTATAGGAAAGATTTATAGGAATTGATCATATACTAGGCCAATAGCAGTTCTAAAGAAAATCGAAAAAATTGATACTGTATAGACCGTATTCTCTGACCACTAAAATATTACATAAGAAATCAATGACTCAAAATATGTTAGAAATGAAATAAAAAAACAACTTATGTATCAAAGAAAATTATAATGAAAACTAGAAAATACTCAGAAGTGAAAAAGAAGAAAATTATACCTAACACTTGTTGGAAGCATAAAAACCAGTTCAGATATGGAAATGTATTTGCTTAAGTATTTATGTTAATACAAATGATCGTGAAAATAAAACAGGTAACAAGTTAGAAAAAGTAAGAATAAATGCAAAAAAAGCAAAGGAAAACAAATAATAAAGAAAAGATATTAAGGAAATAGATATCTAATATTAAAGTTAATTAATAAAGCCAAAACCACTTCTTAGAAAAAGAGAATAAAACACAAAAACCTCTGTAATGAAGGGAATAAATATAGGTAAAAATAATTTTCAGAGTGAAACAGGAAATATAATTGCAGGTTCAGTAGAGATTAATAGCATAGAAGAATATCATAAAAATATTTGTCATTAAATTTGGTGAAATAGACACATTCTTAGAAAATTAGACATTATTACATTTGAATCCAAAGAGAACTAGAAATTTTAGCTACTATATAAACAGAATAAGTAGGTTAAAATCTCCCCATTCAGGAGAAATGTGTTTTCAGGAAAAATCTCTCAGTAAGAAGAAGGAACAGGGAAAGGAAAGGGGAAGTGAAGCAAGTTATGGTCTTGGGTAAAGTCTAACAATGGCTTCAACAGCAAGAGGAGCCCAGTATAATGACACAGCAAGCTTATGGGTCCTGAAGTAGAAAGGCCAGGCTTTTCTACCCTAGTATTTATTGGCTTTCCCTGGGTAGAGAGTTTAATTTCCCAGCCATCTCCAGTGAGCTGGCTATGGTGAGGCAAAGGCAAGTCTCCAGGGACCACAGGTGAAAGTGATTAGCTCCAGCACTCCAGTAGTGGGTGGGGAGCCAGCCAGGAAAGGGCATGTGAGCAGAGCACCAAAAATATGTTGAGAGACATTCTGCATTCCCCTTAAGCCTTCCCAAAGCTCATGGACGAAGATCTGGAGCAATATATCACCTGTGTGCTAGAGAAGATCCCCTGATTTTAAGAGTATTATCAGAATATTTGAGGTAAATGTATCTCTAGAGGGAATCAAAACAAATCTGATGCTTCTATTAATTACGGATAGACATACACCAGAAAATCATCTTATTGGTGACTTCTTCAAATGCAGGCAGAAGGACCTCCATGAACCAAAAGTACTTTGTGTGTGACTCTAGCTGATTCCTTTCCTCCTATAACCTGAACTTCACTGTCACATGAGTAACATGGGAACATGTCACATGGCAAAATGGGACTCCTTTATTTCAAGTGAGACCATGAAGTTTCACAACAAAAGAATTGGTGTCATCTCGTCTGCATGCCAGGCCTGTAAAGAAGAGCTCCCTAAATGTGATGAGGGGACCCTTCATGCAACACCTTTGTAAGCAAATAATAAAATGTTGAAATCAAACAGCACCAGGAAGAGAAACATTTTTCCAAAACAAAATCTGAGAATGTTGTAAAAGTTTCCCATCCTCCTCTCTTCTAAATAGTAATCCAAGCCCTTCCCATGAGAAATTTGTAGAGGCTGCATTTTTCTAAATTAAAGACCACAGAGAAGGCTTTAAGGGGGTTACTCAGATAACTGGTGTTGTGAGCACTAGAATTAGGGATATGGTAGTCTAGTCTCTGACTCTCATTTAGGAAATCAAAACAAAAAAGGCAACATGGCTCTTAGCTGACATATGGTGAGATTCACCGGAAGCAAACTGTCCTAGTGTCACATGGCAGAGAAAATGCATGTGGTTCAAGAGCCTTGAAAGTTGACTACAAGCGAAAGCTGCTACGGGTTGGATATTTATTTCCTCCAAATCTCATATTGAAACTTCCAATGTTGGAAGTGGGAGCTAGTGAGAGGTGTTTTGGTTACAGGGGTTGGGCAGATCCCCCATGAAGGACTTGGTTCCCTCCCCATGGTAATAAGGCACTTCTTGCTCTTTTCCTTCACATGCAAATCAGTTGTTTTTTTTAAAAAAGCCTGGCTCCTCCCCCATCTCTCTTGCTCCTGCTCTTGCCATGTGATGCCTTGTCTTCCCCTCTGCCTTCTGCCATGAGTGTAAGCTTCCTGAGGCCCTCACCAGGAACAGATGCCAGCACTATGCTTCACGTGAAGCCTGCAGAACTATGAGCCAATATAAAAGCTCTTTTCATTATAAATTACCGAACCTCAGGTATTCCTTTACAACAACACAAGAATGAACTAACACAAAAGCCTAGAGCCATCTGAGATAGGACTCTGCTCAAGACAGCCATGTAAAGGGGAAATGGCCTTGACAAAAATGGTCTGGATAGAAAGCACATAGGACCTGAGTGCCAGTGTCCTAAGAGAGTAAATCACCCCATTTCCCTTTACCATGGTGTTGCAGTGGGAAGTTCCAATAACTTTGTTTTTTGTTTGTTTGTTTGCTTTTTGAGATGGAGTCTCGCTCTGTCGCCCAGGCTAGAGTACAGTGGCACGATCTCGGCTCACTGCAAGCTTCGCCTCCCGGGTTCACGCCATTCTCCTGCCTCAGCCTCCCACGTAGCTGGGAAGACAGGCGCCCGCCACCACGCCCGGCTATTTTTTTGTATTTTTTAGTAGAGACGGGGTTTCACCGTGTTAGCCAGGATGGTCTCGATCTCCTGACCTCGTGATCCGCCCGCCTCGACCTCCCAAAGTGCTGGGATTACAGGCATGAGCCACCACGCCCGGCCAACTTTGTTTTTTAACCTACAAAAGTAGCCCAAAATATCAAAGCCAGTTTTAAACATCTCCCTAGCCTCGTACACAGTTGTGGTCTCTAATAAGACCCTTTCCCCTAAATCACTCTCTCCACCTTTCGGAAGGGATCAGAAATCAGGCAACCGAACGGGGAGAGTAGGAGTTGGAGCTAGGAAAGTCAGAATGTCTGACTATACCCTCCTTCTCCTAGGAGAGTATAATCAGAGTAAAATCCTCTAGGCTTCCTCAGCTAAAGAGATAATTAGGTAAGAAGGAAGAAATTTTACATTGCACATATAAGAAATTATGCAATTATGCCACGAGGTAGAAGTTTTAATTTTTAAAATAATGCTATTCTTGAGATGAAAAAAATCACATGAACTAGAAAAAAAAAAAAGGCCAGATTAGAGAATCTGATCAAGATTTCATCTATGCAGTAAGGAAGAAATATTCTGCAGAGTAACTTTAAAGGGTTGTTAACATAGAATTGTTTTTTTTTTTTTTTACTACTTGTACTTTAATAATTTCAGCTTGTTTAATAAAACAGTTATTGTTATGAATTGAATTGCATCCCCCCCAAATTCACAGGATGGAGTATTAATCTTCAGTACCTCTGAGTATAGGACCTTATTTGGAAATAAATTTGCTGCAAATGTGATCAGTTAAGATGAGGTCATACTGAAGTGGAGTGAGCCTCAATTCCAATAGGGCTGTTGTCCTACAAAAAAGGGGAAATTTGGATCTAGGCATGTTTACAAAGAGAAGTCCATGTGAAAATAAAGACGGCCTTCTACAAGCCAAGGGGAGAGGCCTGGAACAGATTCTTCCCTTATAGCTCTCAGAAGGAATCAGTTTTAGTCTGCTCTGGCTGCTATAACAAAATACCATATAGAAATGCAATCCTCACAGTTTTGGAGAAGTTCAAGATCAGGGTTCCAGTATGATTAGGTTTTGGCGAGTGCCCTCTTCCTGTCTTACAGACAGGCACCTTTTCACTGTGTCCTACTATGGTGGAGAGAGAGCAAGCTCTGTCTGGTCTCTGACATTTCTCATAAAGACACCAATTCTACCATGGGGGTTTCACCCTTGCAATCTCATCTAAACCTAATTACCTCCCAAAGTCCCACCTCCAATACCATCACATGAGGGGTTATGGCTTCAACTTACGCCTTTTGGGTGGATACAATTTTTCAGTCCATAGCAGAACCAACCCTGCCAACACCCTGATTTCAGACTTCTAACCTTCAGAATTGTACGACAATAACTTTCTGTTATTTAAGACACCTAGTGTATTATGGCAGCACTAGCAAACTAATAGAGTTATTTGTACACAGATGTAGTTGCTTTTTTAAATTATTAAGTAATCTATTATAGTCATTTTCTTTTTCAAACATTAAAACTTTTCACTCAGTAATTTTCAACCTTTTTCTCAACATTGAAAGGCTGTGTATTACTTAACCTTTAGGAGCTTCACGTTTTCTCTAAAAGTAAATTCAGATTGTTTCACTTCCATGCTTAAAATCCTCTAGTGGCTTCCAATTGCAGCCTAACATCAATATAAGATTTCAAGGCCTTAGCATAATCCATAAATACTTTATGATCTGGATATTGCCTATATCTCTAAACTCAAATCCTTTTTCTTGCCTCTTTTTCTTTTCCCTTCAGTGATACTGCCCAGACAATCCAAGTTCATTCTGTTCTCCAGACCTTGGCACATGACTTTCTCTTATAGTTTGGCACCAACTGCCATAGTGAATGAAATATCAACTCCTATCATTGGTAACTACTTCACTATCCTGCTTTATCTTTTTCTTTGCATTTATTTGTGCCTGATATAATCTTATTTATTAATATGCTTATTGTCTCTTCTCTTTCTCTCAGACTTTAATCCTCAGGAGAGGGACTCAGTCATTTTATTTATTCCTGCATCCCATTTATCCCTAAGCACTTGTATTCACAGCACAAAATCCATAGCTCTTGAATTATATATAAAATTTAACAACTGAATATTTATTATGTAAACTTCTCTGTGTTAAATGCTTTCTAAGCCATGGCTACTTGGACCACAATCCTGAAATAGTTGAGAAAACAAAGATAATATTGATACAGTACATATGGTATCAAATAAATTAACATAAAATATTGTGCATACATAAAAATTTAAAAGATAGCAAAGTTTAGATTAGTAAAAATAGTTGGAGTATCTATCTTTTGCTGATCTTTTAAGTGTTTTTAAAATTAATTATCCATACCCTCATCTATTCCAAAAATCACTAATTTTGAAGAAATGCTTTTGACTGTAGTTAAATTTAAGATCTATTTACCAACTGTATTAGTCAGTTCTCACACTGCTATAAAGAACTACCTGAGACTGGATAATTTATGAAGAAAAAAGGTTTAATTGACTCACAGTTCTGCAGGCTTAACAGGAAGCATGACTGAGAGGCCTCCGGAAACTTACAATCATGAAGGTGTAAAGGAACCAAGCACGTATTATCATGATGGAACAGGAGAAAGAGCGAGCCAAGGGGAAAGTGCCACACACTTTTGAACCATCAGATCTTGTGAGAACTCACTCACTATAACAAAAACGGCAAGGGGGAAATTGGCCCCCATGCTTCAGTCACCTCCCACTAGGCCCCTCCTCCAATTCCACATAAGATTTGGGTGGGGACACAAATCCAAACCATATCACCAACATAGACAAATAATTAGAATGCAATAAGCTTGTTGTATTAATGAAAGTATGTGCAAAATACGTGGTATAGGAGAAAAAGAAGCACAGAGTTTTTAAATCATAAACCACCAAGAACACATTAGTTCTGCTAAGATTAAATGCAGTGCCAGAGGAAGGAGAGCTTCTACAAAGAATTGCATCCCACATCTGAGTGGTCTCAAGGTCTCTCTAAACAGTCTCTAGTACTTTTCCTGGCACTCCAATGACCTCATGCCTTTTCAAGCATATCACTATACAGGCAAACATTTCCCTTACTATCTGCAGGGGAAAGTTACTGGGCATCTCAGATTATCCCTCATAAGCAGGAATTCTCAAACAGGATCCAAAGCCTGGACTGGAAATTCCTGAAAACCAAGCTCTTGGGCTATGGTTCTGAATTGAATGGCATGCCCAAATTCTCCCTGTTGCAGTTTGTTTCTCCAAATTAAAGTCATTATAAACTGCCAGGCGCCTCCAGTTAGGCACATGGTGACTTGGAAAATGGTGTGTACCGTATCTGTACTGATGTTCATGAATATTTGGGGAAAAAAAGCAGGAAACAGTAAAGGAATCCATCCTAAGATCAGGCTAAATGTCCAACTGTACATTGCCAGTCTCAAGGTAGCATTTTGGCATGAAACTCAATTTTCTCTTAGAATAATTTGCATTGGGATTATGGGCTAAATGTTCTCAAAGTGTCTAAGCTATAATTCTTTATGAGACTGCACTTTGGCATTTAACTACAGCATATGCAAGCCTAACTTACAGGCTCAGTCTTTACATTTATCCAAATTCTCTACATGATGGCAGCCAACTTTTAATGAAAAGCATTGCTTTATGACGTGATTTACTTGCTCTCTCTGTTTTTTATTCCTAGCAGGATTTTGCTTTACATTAAATATGAACTAAACTTTGCTAAAACTTCTGCTGTCGATTAAAATCTTCTTTGTAAACCTTCAAATTTCCAAAACCCCCAACCCTATGCAAAGAATAAAATGATTATAAATCTCACTTGTTTGATGCTTAAAACTGTTTAGACTATACAGAATTACCTCCTGTTCATATGAAACATATATTTCAAAGTGCATTCATTTTGTGCCCCTTGTAGTGAATCACATAATCTGAAACAAAGCATGGAGAAACAAAACAAAGAAAAAAAGCAAAGCAAAGAAAAAGAGAAATGCTAAAAAGGAAAAAATAATAATTAGATGAAACGAGTGGAGGAATAGAGAAAAGTAAGCCTGGTAGAAAATGCAAAAGCTGCATTATCTGTATATAATGTGGCTATAATACTACATTGGTCAGCAACTGTAATGTAAAAGGTAATGTGTAGGAGTTTTTATATGCTTTTCAGAACTATAAAGGGAGTGTGAGTGGATTTTAAACATTTTGATTAGCACCACAAAGATTTTAATGCTTTATTTAAACAGTTTGCTATAGGGCAAACACATTTGGTAGACAAGTAAAATGAAAGCATGGGCATCCGTTTCTCTGTTTTCTATTAAGTAATGTTGCGAAGTAAGCAGAAGTTGGATTCAGATATCAGATAATTATCTCCACACTGTGTGTCACAGTAAATAATTTTAATTGGTTTAACTTCAGGGACCATTACTGGCCTAATTAGAAACATGAAAAGGCTACAAGTATTAGGAAATATCCTGAAGGAATGAGAACATTAGCAATTCTGTCAAGCCATTTTTAAAATAAGTACACAGTAGCAGCCACATTTCAGTGAAAGGCAGGGGACTTGAAAGGTGCTTTTAGGAAAACAGTGCTTGTGAGCCTGTAATAAGAGAACTGTAATAGGAACCATAGAAATTGGGTAACAGGCTGACATGTATGCTACTTCTGCATTAAAAATATACTAATCTTGTTTTGATTGCTGTTTTTAAAAGATGCAGATTAATTTTTTCAAAGGATAAAACAATAATTGAGATTGGATAAATCCTGATCAAGAATATGTTGACTTATTGAAGGGGAAAGGGATCTTTGAGTAAAATAGCTTCAGCTAAACACCTTCAGCATGCAGAGATGTGCTGAGTGAAGGACTACACTGCGTGTTTATTTTTATTTCTTCGCCTTGGTTTTCCAACATACATGAGAAACAAATAGCTATTATTCTTTGAAGCATGCATATACACTATACATACTGCATTGTATGTCGTAGTTCATATTTGGAAAACAGCTATATTCTGAATATAGAAAAGTGAGGTACTGTGAACATTATTAAGTCAGAGATTAAGCCAGAAATCTATTCCCTCAGTATTTTCAAACATGAAGAGCCCTAGTTCAGAGGGCAAAATGTTTACATCATATAAGATACCTGCAATGCCATAAAATGTTTAAATGAACACATAATATCAACAGCTTCTAATAAGTAGTTGTGGAGTAAAATTTTGTTCTTTCTAATGTAATTTTTTTATAATAGATTTCTATTTTCTAAAACGGTTAATGGTGAAATTTGACTTTTTTTTGAGATATGGAGACTTTAAATGAACCATCCAGACTTAAAATTACAAAAATAAACCATATTTTTAGCCATTTTAATGTATTTATTTTAAAAGCAAAGGTCCGAGAAACGAAATAGGAAAAGGAAGGCATAGTAAACTATGGATCATTTTGAAGAACGCACCCATTACTAGAGAAGGGTAAATTGTGTAATTTTATAACCTATTGATATTTGGATACACTGTCAAATATTACATATTATAAATATAACTGAGCATTTAAAAGGTTAAGAAAATTATTAACTCCACCAAAATTTGTCAAACAAAAAATGTCTGCCTATGAAACAACTCACATCACAGACTCTCTTTACTCTTATACTCATAGATGATACCTCACAGACACATGCTTATTCACACATGCACAAAACCCATTGCTACAGTCTGTGCTTTTACACTGAATGTCTTAAAATAATACTGCCAGTTATCATAATTATTAACATTTGTACGTTTTTAAATTCTGGCAAATTCTTATTCGACTGGTGCATATGCAATAATTTAAACTCAAATCTTCTTAACAAGTTTGTAACATATGATCTCTGCCCTCATGGAAGGACATATAATGTGTTCTCACAAAGAAAATGGGAATAATTCCTAAGGAATAATTTTTAGCTACAGAACACATTAATTGTTTGCAGATTTGTTAAGGGAAACACACACATACACATACACGATTGTGGATCATTATAAAATAATACAACTGCCTGCCCACCAAACACATGTTCCATATTTCAAATATCTTCCAAATGTAGAAGAGGGAGGGAGGATGAGGGGGAGAATAAAAATGTGGTTGCTTATACAAATATACATGCTCATATACGTACACAAACATACATACATATGTTCATATATTTCAGCTTTGCCCATATGTTCCGAAAATAGCAGCCTGGAAAATTGGTACCCAACACATCCCACTCTCAGAGTACAGATACAAATGAAGACAAATTTTCCTAGTACCTAAGTTAGTCAAGTAGAGAAAGTACTTCAGGACACTACACTCTTTTAGGCCATTGAATGTTGCAAAGCAACAAACAAATCTACTTCTCAAAATACCAGCTTTATCCCTCAAAGAAGTTGGAGAATATTTCCCTTATCTCTTCTTCCGCAAAATAAACAATATTCCCCTACATCAGTGATCCAGGTAAATGAGCAGGGGAGGAGATGGTTATATGGACCTTATTTTTAGAAGTTTTTCTCTAAAACGTAGAGGGTTTTTTGGGGCGAAGAAAACAATGATTCCATCATATTTTGTACCCTATTTTCTGATCATTTATTTTATATGTATAGTGACTAATGGTTTTTATTATTGAAATGTTAGCTTGGTTTGGAATGCAGTCTCAAACTCAGAAAATCTAAATCTTGTAGTGGGGTAAGCATGGCTTTTTAGCTCTGCAGACCCGGTTTAGATGCCTAGGTTCATCTCTCATTGCTTATGTAGCACCTGAACATAAATGTTTTAATCTGTAAAATGGGGATGGTCATTCAGTTGCAGGAAACAAATAAAATAGTGTATATAAGGCACCTGGCTTATAGCAGACAAAACAAAAGTTTCCTATTAATAATGTTATGTTGTGCTGTCTTTTAAGGATCTCTTTGTATAATTTAGACAAAATCTATAAATAAGTAAAAAGCCTCTTGTTCATACATCACAGGTCAAGCCACTTTAGATTTTTTATGCTTTCTGGTCATCAGGCTTCTTGATAAATACATCAACTCTGTTATAGGGGCTTCACAACAATTCCTTTTCTTTTGTCATTGCCCCTTTCTCCTAAACCTCAGGATGTCCTGCAATCATGTTTATACAGTGTGATCCTCACTTTCCATCTCCATCCCTCACTCCATTCGCTGTTTGTACCCTCCTAATTACACATCCAAGGATGGTAGTAGAACCAATATTGGCAAGTCTGAGTCCCTCTCCCAAACCTCCAACACCTTAACGGTTATTTACCCCTTGTGTGGGGCTATCACTTATGACAAAATATAGTCTAATTCAGAGAGAAAAAGAAAACAGCCACCAGTTACTTTCCAAATCTGTTACTGACTATAATTGTCACTATGTAAAACTGGACAAGGAGAAAAAGCCAGTCTGCAAAAGGAGAGAAGTAATTGGCCAGGGAGGTGCAAAAATAAAAGATGGAGAGAGTACTGGCTTGGGTTCCCTTAAGCCTTCCTAGTCAACTGTATACCTGTATTTGTCTTCTTACCGTAAGCTCCAATCTTTCACTCCCTTTTGCTGCCGTTGTTTGGTTCTTGAAAAAAAAAAAAGAATTTCTGTTCTGTAACTCTATATTAAACTATAGCATGAGTATTAATAAAATAATTCTAAAAGATGAAAATAATTGAAAAAGTAACTTAGCAGTAGAAGTAATTTCTACTACTTTTAAAAAGAGTTTGTTTTATAATTCACAGCCAAGATAGTGAAATACAATTCTTAGGTTAAAACAATAATTGCTTTATAATGTAATCTAAAGTTATCCATTTACTCTTTCCCATCCCTTGAGATCTGAAAAGTCAGGAATGTTGGCAGCCCTGCAGGTTAAAACTGATAATATTCTGTTATACCTTTAGGGCAGAGCATAGTAGTAGCAAAGTTCTCTGCATGAGGCAATGAAGGCTTTCAATGAAAGATTGTGCTTAGATAATGTATTGATGTGGGAGCCTACAAGCTATTTTCTACTTCTACCATTTTCTGGTACAAAAAGAAAGGCAGGAAGTCATTGGGGTTATTAGATTCTTGGAAGCCTCCTTCTGGTGAGTTCTTTTATTTATAAACAGACATTTTCTCAAGACTCTCCTAAATTCTTAAAATTCACATTTATTTATTTTACATTTTACAACCAGCTTCTGAGATCCTAATTGGGTGCCCTGTAAGAGTACCTTCTTGGGCACTAATTCTCAGACTTGACTGTGGACCATGGGTCATCTGGGAAGCTTGTCAAAGATTCAGATATCTGAGTCCTACAATACAGATTATTTTTCCATTCTTCGGACGTTGCTCAAGAAGCAACAACTTTTTTTAAACAAACACCTGTGTGATTCTGATGTAGTCAATTCAGAAACAACACTTTGCAAAAAAACTGTTCTTAAAAAAACACATTTTTCCTTTGTTCATCAGACATAAACATATAGAGAACCTAAGATGATGCAGTAAGTACTTGAAAGCATTTTTAGCATTAATTTGCTCAAATTACAACCGATTGTACTTAAGATTTTGACTACCGAAAATAATAAAATAAATTATTTGGTTAAAAAAGAAATTTAAGCCTTAGCACATATTTTTATTTGCTAATCAATAAACCTAAGTACTAACAAGACTGTGCCATTTTTCTGATTTATAAAACTGTTGTATTGATAACTATGTAAAGACAATAGTTATCTATGTTACTTAACTGAAAGTAATATAGATATGTTCATCATAAATAATATAAATATTTTTCATTATAAAAAATTAATTGTATTATAAATAACATTAATGGTATTTGTAAATTAATATATACTAATCATAATAAATAATATATTAACACAATACTATTTATCATCAATGTTAATAATAAATAATTGTCAAAAATAATGATATTAGATAAAACATACATTTTTGAATGTATCAAATAGTCTTGATTACAACATTGCCTAGGAAGATGAAAATCAATTCTATTTACTATCAATCAAAATCTTGTAAAATATGGGTTTTTTTACAAGAAAAAAAAACCATTAAAAAGTGGGCAAAGGACATGAACAGACACTTCTCAAAAGAAGACATTTATGTGCCTAACAAACACATGAAAAAAAGCTCAACATTACTGATCATTAGAGAAATGCAAATCAAAACCACAATGAGATACCATCTCATGCTTGTTAGAATAGCACATGTACCCTAAAACTTAAAGTATAATAAAATAAATAAATAAATAAATAAATAAATAAATAAATAAATAAATAGAATGGCAATTATTACAAAGTCAAGAAACAACAGATGCTGGTGAGGCTATGGAGAAATAGGAACACTTTTATACTGTTGGTGGGAATGTGAATTAGTTCAACCATTGTGAAAGAGTGTGGCTATTCCTCAAAGACCTGGAACCAGAAATACTATTTGACCCAGCAATCCCATTATCAGGTATATACAAAAGGAATATAAATCATTCTATTATAAAGATACATGCACACATATCTTCACTGCAGCACTATTAATAATAGTAAAGACATAGAACCAACTCAAATGCCCATCAGTGATAGACTGGATGAAGAAAATGTGGTAAATATATACCATGGAATACTATGCAGCCATAAAAAGGAACGAGATCATATCCTTTGCAGGACATGGATGGAGCTGGAGGCCATTATCCTCAGCAAATTAATGCAGGAAGAGAAAACCAAACACCCCATGTTCTCACTTATAAGTGAGAGCTAAACAATGAGAACACATGGACACAGGGAGGGGAACAACACACACTGGGGCCTGCATAGGGGGAGCACAGTCGGAGGGAGAGTATCAGGATAAATAAATGCATGTGAGGCTTAATACCTAGGTGATGGGTTGATAGGTGCAGCAGACCACCATAGCACATGTTTACCTATGTAACAAATGTGCAGGTCATGCACATGTATCCCAGAACTTAAAATAAAATAAAACTAAATTAAACTAAAATATATATATATATATATATATATATATATATATATATATATATATATATTTATGCATGTGTGTGTGTGTAGATATACATGTACATTTTAATGCAGTGATTACCTTACTAGAAAATAAGGAAATAGTTGACTTTTAATAATTTTACATATAAGGATGTTAATTACAGTACTGTTTATAATAGCCAAAAGCAGGAAACATCATAAATAATATGAATTTTAAAATCATCATAAATAATATTAATTTTTAAAATGAGAATATTTCTATTGAAAGATGATATTTAGCTACATTGTAGTAAGTACAAAATACTGCTACTACTATTACCATAATCATGATAATAATTAACAATTTTACTTGTGTGTACAACTTACGAAATATCAAACCAAAAAAAGATGCTTTTTTTTTTTAATCAATGGATGATTCCTACTCCTAAATAAATTTATTTAAGTAATCTTTTTGGGTAGAGTCAGTGTTGCCACTATGACTTGATAATGTATTTATCTGGGTTACATACAATTAAATTATTTAAATCTTTAATCCCTTGATCCCTAAATGGAATGTAGTGCACCTGCATTATATTCTCTAAGAAGAAATATAATTCCAATTAAAAACATTTATATTGTATTTTATATATTAACCTTACTTTAGAACTTAATGGATGTTCAGCAAATTAGGTATATTTTATAAGGTATTTAATGATTTATAAATAGAAAGTATAAATTGAAATATTATATGTAGGCCAATATTAAAATAAAAATGAAAAGAAATTATTAATTCTTTTCCTTAAACACTTATCAACTGCTATCTCCAAATCATGACATAATTTTTTCCTTGTCTCAGTGTTAGATGGAGTTGATTTTTTAAATTATACAAATAATCCATAATCAGAGTAGAATGACTTTAATATGACATATGATCATATTTCAATTTTGTGCTAATGTATACACATACCTTAACATGTAATGCATTTTCTATCACCAGATATTATGATGTTTCCTTTTTCTGGCTATCATAAACAGTGCTGTAATGAGCATCCTTATATGTATAATTATTTAAAAATCACCTTTCTCTAGTACAGTGATAACTGCATTAAAATATGCCTATATTTTAAAAGCTTTTGATTGATAGTAAACAGAATTGATTTTCATCTTCCTAGGCAATGTTTTAAACGAGATTATTCTATTCCTTCAAAAATGTACATTTTTATCTTACATCTTTGATAAAGTTCTAGGCTTATTATTATTTTTTGTTCAAAATGGCAGGGTCATTTTTCTTTGTGAAATTGCAGTTCTTTTTGTTCAGTTTAAGTAACGTGTGGAGTACTTAAAATACTGTTTCGCTTAAGCATTGGAGTGTTCACACTTCAGGTGGTAGATATAAAAGAGATGAGGAAGGTGGAGTCCCTGTCACCTTACAGTTTGGTCTCAAATAGGTTGAGAATTACCATGCTGTACATGGATTATCATTTTTTAAATGTTTATAATTTATTAAACTATCACTAATACTAAAAGAGTCCTAAATGTTACCTGTCTATGAATTAGCACAAGTCCCTTTGTGACCCAATTTAGGTATCTGCAGACATTTAATATTATTCATCTGTTTAACTGACATTTATTTTATATCTAACATGTGCAGAAGCTTTGGAGAATGCAAATTAATTCTTAAAGTACCATATACACATATGTAAAATGCAAATATCCATACAAGGAAAACACAAATATCCATAAAAGCCCTGTATATTTAATGATGAACAAATGGTATAAGCCATAAATGTTTTAGAATTCATAGAATGAGAGTCCACTGTGGCCTGGAAAAGTCATGGAAGGCTCATGAAGTGGTTGATGCTTGGGCTAAAAATTTAAGAAAAGGTAGGACTAGGCTATTGAACAGGGTCAGTGAGGAGCAAAGGCATAGCAAGGTAGCAATGAGCAAGGCATAGTTGAAGGAGAGTGACTAGATGGAATTAGCTGAAAGGAAGTCTATGGGTAAAGAATAATGATTATACATTTGAAAACTTAGGAGAAAGCCAAATTGCAAAGGGCCCAAGTGCAGGGTTAAAGGCTTTAGTTTTATGTCCCATATCTTTGAAAATGTACAAGGGGGAAAGTGGTATGAGATGTTTAAGATAGATAAATCAAACAATGTGATAAATGATAGAGTAGAATAAAAAGAATGAGTGGGGTAATTATTTAGGCTGTTATTGATATACTACAAATACGAGATAATCAGAATCAAAAATAAGACCATGGCATTGATAATGAGAAGAAAGGTATAATGTGAAGAAAGACAAATTGGGGTCAGATGAACTTGCTTTTGATCTGTTTAACTTGAGGTAAGAATTAGAGCCTGGAGTTGGATCTGGAAACCACAGACTAGAACTGGAAGGGGTGACCAGGCCAGTTCATTATGAATCATCATGATAAACGTACTATCTGCAGCCATGAGACTAAAGAAAATCACTAAAAGAAAGCGTGAGAAGAGTCGAACAAGGAGACCTGAATCTTGGAGAAATGCTATGGGGGTAAATGGGAAGAAAATATCAGAGAGTTAGAAAGAGGATGAAACAGTATGCAAAAACTGGCACTTCCTGTCAGAGAGCCTAAAAACATCCAGCAGGTAATTGTTTTTTAATCCTAACTACTAGATAACCAGGAACAGGAGACATTTTTTTCTGTAACATGTCGGTAGGACACTTAATATCAAAAATAGCTGCCAGAATTGTAGATTAGGGGAAGTTACCTTTGATTGTTTTTATTTCTGAGACATATTATTTCTACCCTTCAGACTAATGTGCATATATTGATCTCTGATTACCGAATCCATTTCTGCAGATCTTCATTAAGTCTTGAGTTTCTGTCAATCCTTCAAAAATGCTAAAATTTATTCTCTTTTTTTCTCTTTCCTCATTCTAGCCAAAGAGGGATATAATCTGGTTCTCAAATTAAAGTTCAGAAAACTGAGAGAAACTGGTAATTTAAATCATCTCCAGAAGATATAGGGATACTTTCATTAATCTAGGAGTATCTCTAATTCATGAATTCTGATGGATGTATCTTTGAGTTGGAAATCTCTCCTCCAAAACCATTATTCAGGCAAGCCAAAGCCAACACTAGAATAACAAATGTCTAATATCTTGCTGAATGCTGTGAAGTTACTATACCAGTAATACCTGGTGCAGTCATGTTGAAATGACCATATCTAGAAGTTTCTTTAAATTATTCTAGAATTAATTTGAGGCCGGAGCAAGTTAAAAATATAGAGTGGCAGAAGAAAGAAGAGTTGAAGGTTAGTCATGAAAAGTTAAGGGAACAATAGCACCCTAGGAGAGAGGATGGGGAGACCTAAAACTACTGATGGTAGAGCTCACCTCTGGCAGCATAGTGAGAAAGACTGAATGCATTGGGCTAGCTAAGAAGAATTGCAAACCCAGGGTTTCTGAAGTACATAAGGTGCTGGCAGTTGTATATTATGAGTGGAGGTATGTCAGGCAAAGGAATCAGAATTGAAGATAAGGAGATTGGGAAATGAAAGTATTATTTTCAGGTAGAGAAGTAAAGGGTGTCGTCATGCTGTTGAGAAAGTTGATGTAGAATGAAAATAAAAATTGAATTAAAGAGAGTGGGATATGGTGAGGCTTAATTACTACATGAGCAACTTGAATATATGTGAAAATTATGGATGATGATGGGACTGCATAGGAAAAAAATAAAAGATGATATATTTCCTAAAGGCATTATTAAAGAGAACATTCACGGTGTAAAACAATAACAGCAATAATTTTAAAATCCATTTCTCCAAATTTTTCTTAGGTATCATATGAAAATAATTTTTATTTTCTAATATATTAGAAAACATTAGGTTAACAAAGAAAATCAGGTTTCTTTTTCTCTGTACTCTCAGCACTTTTAATTAATTAACACTGTGAAACCCTAAGAGAGAGAGGTATATGATATATTTTATTTAAGATATATAATCTTTTTCTTCCCTAGAACCTCTCAAGGAACTGTTAAAATATTGCTCAAGTTGCCCTGGAGAGGTCAAAGTTTGACTGCATCCTCTGTAAAAGAGAATAGAATTAAGGTTTCAATGACTTGGACCATAGGGAGTTTAACACTAAATAAAGTGGAGATATATAGGAAAAGGTGAAGCAACAAAGAAGATTTTGTTCTAGTGGCATGATTTTTGTCACCAGGCAAAGAAGAAAGACATAGTGGAGGGCCTGCTTGACAAGAGAGTCTGAGGAACCCAGGGGGCTGAGCTGGGTTTGACTGAAATGGTATGGAAGAAAGCATTAGATGTGAAAGTTGGTTGAAGTCCATCAGTAATAAAGAAAGGAGATTGGGAAGAAGCTGTATGACAATCAACACACAGGTCTGAAAATGGTGTCATTGAAAGTATGATTGTTTGGAATTTACATAAATGAGACATTATAGAAAACAGATTCATCATAATTAACTTCTCATTAAATAATTCAATAAACCTGCAGATATGCCTATTTCTAAATCATTCCAAAACTTATATTAGGAATAGTACTCAAAATAACAGGGTGGCAACATTTTAAGCCATCATTATCATCCATGGAAGTATAATATAATTTGGGTCCATTTTCATCTAAATATCTATGTTAAAAAAACATTTTTCAGCATTGCAATAACTCTTTAAATAAAAACAATGCTCCATGTAATAAATAATTTCACTATTTGATTTTCTTACTTAATTCTCCATATAAAAAAGAGGAAGAAAACAAAGCAACATTAATTTGGTTTTCACTGCTCCATTTGAGTCCCTGTAGTTAGCCTCTGTAAAGTAATTCACATTTTCATGTAAGACATTTCCAAATGGTCTAGTCGTGTGAATTGGGGTTTATATCTGTGACTATCTCCAAGTTTCTTTATCTGTCCTAAGCAGCAGGTTTCTTATCTGACAGCCTGATAATTATGGAAGAACCTGCATGTTAATGATTCAGTACTTACATAAACAACTGGCCTTGGATAAATCTAATAAACTGACTTTGTAGGATTTGATTTTTCCTAATTAAATGTAAATAATGTTAAATGTTGTATATGCCAGGATTTCTGCAGAACCTTATGAATTTTTTTATGAATGCCAAGCCTTATGAATTCAGAGTTTTTAACAGTTATCTTCTAATTCAGCTATTAGGATAATATGGTTTGACATCAGATATACTCTATGATTGTGAGGTACCAACACACGTGCACACTAAGTGTTTATGTATGCAAGATATAATTCTCAATTGTTGCTTTTTATTTTTTGATTCTTTCCTTTGAAGTTGGCAGCTTGTACATTTTTATCTGAAGGTCCAAATCTGCATCTTACTTTGAAGGAACAAATGGGCTCCATGTGGTGCTTGGCTTTCCTTTGCTCATCTCTATTACCTTCTATCAGTATGAAATGTATTCTGACATAGTTTTTTCACTTAAGTATATGCACCTGATTTTTTCCATTGGTCTTTTGCTAACACATGCCTCCATTTAAGGATATGTACAAGGATTGGCTTTTAAAACAAGAGAATAGTGTCATTTAGGAACAAATGTACATTAAGCATATATATTTGAGTAAATGGTATTTCCATCTTTTCTGGAATAGAGAGAAGAAAAACATTGCTCAATTTTTTTCTAATTTGGAAAAAAATATAAATAAAAAGTTGCCTAGTTTTTGTTTTTTCCTTTCAGACTTTTATTAAAATTTCAGGGGTACATGTGCAGGTTTGTTATATAGGTAAACTACATGCCATGGGTGTTTGGTGTACAGATTATTTCATCACCCAGGTAATAAGCATGGTATCTGATAGGTAGTTTACCAATCCTCACCTTCTTCCCACCTTCTACCCATAAGTAAGCCCTGGTTTCTATTGTTCCCTTCTTTGAGTCCCTGTGTAATCAATGTTTAGCTCCCACTTAAAAATGAGTAGATGTGGTATTTGATTTCTTTTTCTTTTTTTTAACTAAAGTCCTCACTTTATTCAGATGTCTTTGTTTTGTTTTTTTCCTGAAGTTCTTTTTGTTTTTCAATATTCCACATTCCATTAATTGTCATTTATTCTTAGGCTTCCCCTGGCTCTGGCAGTTTCTTAGACTTTCCTTGTATTTGACAACGCTAAGAGTTTGTTTGTTTGTTTTATTTTACTTCATTTTACTTCAAATTCTGGGATACAAGTACATAGGTATACGTGTGCCATGGAGGTTTGCTGCACCTATCAACCTGTTGTCTAAATTTTAAGCCCCACGTGCATTAGCTATTTGTCCTAATGCTCTCCCTCCCCTCACCCCCCAGCCCCCAGTTGGCCCCAGTGTGTCTTCCCTGTGTCCATGTGTTCTCATTCTTCAACTCCCACTTATAAGTAAATACATGTGGTGTTTGGTTTTCTGTTCTTGTGTTAGTTTCGTCAGGATAATGGCTTCCAGCTTCAACCATGTCCCTGCAAAGGACATGATCTCATTCCTTTTTATGAATGCACAGTATTCCATGGTGTATATGTATCACATTTTCCTTATCCAGTCTATCACTGATGGGCATTTGAGTTGGTTCCATATCTTTACTATTGTAAATAGTGCTGCAATAAATATACACGTGCATGTGTCTTTATAGTAAAATGATATATATTCCTTTTGGTATATACCCAGTAATGCGATTGCTGGGTCAAATGGTATTTCTGGTTCTAGGTCTTTGAGGAATCATCACAGTCTTCCACAATGGTTGAACTAATTTACATTCCCACCAATGGTGTAAAAGCATTCCTATTTCTTCACAGCCTCGCCATCACCTATTGTTTCTTGACTTTGTAATAATTGCCATTCAGACTGGTATGAGATGGTATCTCATTGTGGTTATGACTTGCATTGCTCTAATTATCAATGATGTTGAGCTTTTTTCATATGTTTCTTGGCTGCATAAATGTCTTCTTTTTAGAAGTGTCTGTTCATATCCTCTGCCCACTTTCTAATGGGGTTGTTTGTTTCTTGTAAATTTGAGTTCCTTGTATATTCTGGATATTAGACCTTTGTCAGAGGATAGATTGCAAAAGTTTTCTCTCATTCTGTAGGTTGCCTGTTCACTCTTATGATAGTGTCTTTTGCTGTACAGAAGCTCTTTAGTTAAATTAGATTCCATTTGTCAATTTTGGCCTTTGTTGCAATTGCTTTTGGTGTTTTCTTATGAAGTCTTTGCCCATGCCTAGTTCCTGAATGGTATTGCCTAGGTTTTCTTCTAGCATTTTTATGGTTTTGGGTTTTACATTTAAGTCTTCAATCCATCCTGAGCTAGTTTTTGTATAAGGTGTAAGGAAGGGGCCCAGTTTCAGTTTTCTGCATATGGCTAGCCAGTTTTCTCAATACCATTTATTAAATAGGGAATCCTTCCTCCATTGCTTGTTTTTGTCAGGATTGTTGAAGATCAGATGGCTGTAGATGTGTGTTCTTATTTCTGAGTTCTCTGTTCTGTTCCATTTGGTCTATATGTCCGTTTTGCGACCAGTGCCATGCTGTTTTGGTTCCTGTAGCCCTGTAGCATAGTTTAAAGTCAGGTAGTGTAATGCCTCCAGCTTTGTTTTTTGCTTAGGATTGTCTTGGCTATACAGGCTCTTTTTTGGTTCCACATGAACTTTAAAGTAGTTTTTTTCTAATTCTGTGAAGAATGTCAATGGTAGTTTGATGGGAATATCATTGAATCTATAAATTACTTTAAGCAATATGGCCATTTTCATGATATTAATTCTTTCTGTCAATGAGGATGTAATGTTTTTCCATTTGTTTGTGTCCTCTCCTATTTCCTTGAGCAGTGGTTTGTAGTTCTCCTTGAAGAGGTCCTTCACATCCCTTGTTGTCTGTATTCCTAGGTATTTTATTCTCTTTGTAGTGATTGTGAATGGGAGTTCATTTATGATTTGGCTCTTGCTTTGTCTATTGTTGGTGTATAGGAATGCTTGTGATTTTGCACATTGACTTTGTATCCTGAGATTTTGCTGAAGTTGCTTATCAGCTTAAGGAGATTTTGGGCTGAGACAATGGGGTTTTCTAAATATAGAATCATCATCTGCAAACAGGGACCATTTGACTTTCTCTCTTCCCATTTGAATGCCCTTTATTTCTTTCTCTTGCCTGATTGCCCTGGCCAGAACTTCCAAAACCATGTTGAATAGAAGTGGTGAGAGAGGACATCCTTGTCTTATGCTGGTTTTCAAAGGGAATGCTTCCAGCTTTTGCCCATTCCGTATGATATTAGCTGTGGGTCTGTCATAGATAGCTCTTATAATTTTGAGATATGCTCCATCAATACCTAGTTTATTGAGAGTTTTTAACATGAAGGAATGTTGATTTTATCGAAGGCCTTTTCTGCATATATTGAGATAATCATGTGGTTTTTGTCATTGGTTCTGTTTATGTGATGGAGGATGTTTATGGATCTGTGTATTTTGAACCAGCCTTGCATCCCAGGGATGAAGCCGACTTGATAGTAGTGAGTAAGCTTTTTGATGCACTGCTGGATTCAGTTTGCTAGTATTTTACAGAGGATTTTCGCATTGATGTTCATCAGGGAAATTAGCCTGAAGTTTTCTTTTTTGTTGTGTCTCTGCCAGGTTTTGGTATCAGGATGATGCTAGCCTCATAAAATGAGTTAGGGAATATTCCCTCCTTTTCAATTGTTTGGAAAAGTTTCGGAAGAAACGGTACCAGCTCCTCTTTGTACTTATAATAGAATTCATCAGTGAATCCATCTGATCCTGGGCTATTTTTGGTTGGTAGGCTATTAATTACTGCCTCAATTTAAGAACTTGTTATTTGTCTATTCACAGACTCGATTTCTTCCTGGTTTAGTCTTGGGAGGGTGTATGTGTCTAGGAATTTATCCATTTCTTCTAGCTTTTGTAGTTTATTTGCATAGAGTTGTTGATAGCATTCTCTGATGGTAGTTTGCGGTATTTGATTTTCTGTTCCTGTGTTAGTTTGCTTAAGATAATGGTTTCCAGCTCCATCCATATTGCTGCAAAGGACATGATCTCATTCTGTTTTATGGCTGTGTTGTATTCCATGGTGTATATGTACCACATTTTCATTATGCAGTCTACTATTGGTGGACATCTAGGTTGATTCCATGTCTTTGCTGTTGTGAATAATGATGCGTTTAGCATACATGTGCATGTGTCTGTATGGTAGAATGATTTATATTCCCTTGGGTATATATCCAATAATGGGGTCGCTGGTGCAAATGGTAGTTCTATTTTAAGTTCTTGGAGAAATCACCAAATTGCTTTCCATGGTGGCTGTACTAACTTACACTCCCACCAACAGGGTATAAGTGTTCCCTTTTGTCTGAAACCTCACCAACATCTGTTATCTTTTGACTTTTTAATAATAGCCATTATGACTTGTGTGGGATGGTATTTCATTGTGGTTTAGATTTGCATTTCTCTAATGATTAGTGAGTTAAGCATTTTTTCATATGCTTTTGAGAAGTGTTTCTTGATGTCCTTTTCCCACTTTTTGGGGTTGTTTGTTTTATTGTTTGTCAGTTTATTTAATTTTTTAACAGATTCTAGATATTAGATCTTTGTTGGATGCATAGTTTGGAAATATTTTCTCCCATTCTGTAGGTTGTCTATTTACTCTGATAGTGTCTTTTGCTGTGCAGAAGCTCTTTAGTTTAATTAGGTCCCATTTGGCTATTTTTGTTTTTCTTGCAATTGCTTTTGGCATTTTCATTATGAAATCTTTGCCAGGACCTATGTCCAGAATGGTATTTCCTAGGTTTTCTTCAAGGGTTTTTATAGTTTTAGACTTAACATTTAAATCTTTAAATGGTTGTAGGCTTTATATTTAAATCTTTAAATCTTTACATTTAAATCTCTATATGGTGTAAGGAAGGAGTCCTGTTTCAATCTTCTGCATATGGCTGGCCAATTATCTGAGCACCATTTATTGAATAGGAAGTCCTTTCCAATTGCTTGTTATTGTTGACTTTGTCAAAGATCAGATGGTTGTAGGTATATGGCTTTATCTCTGGGCTCTCTAGTCTCTTCCATTGGTCTATGTGTCTGTTTTTGTACCAGCACCATGCTGTTTTGGTTACTGTAGCCTTGTAGTATAGTTTGAAATCAGGTAATGTGACGCTTGTTCTTTTTGGTTAGGGATTGCTTTGGCTATTCAGGGTCTTTTTTAGTTCCATATGAATTTTAGAATAGTTTTTTCCTAATTATGTGAAGAATGTCATTGGTAGTTTGATAGCAATAGCATTAAATCTGTAAATTGCTTTGGGAAGTATGGCCATTTTAATGATATTGATTCTTTCTATCCATGAGAAAATTGCCTAGTTTTTAAAATGGTACTCAGCACAAAGATTTCAAAAGTATTTTGCAAAGGAAGGTGAGGCTGATGACTACCCTTAGAGATCTACAGCTATTCACCATCTCTTACTCAATGTAGTTTGTGGACAGTTGCATATATCAGTGGCATGGTTGCATGGATGCAGTAGGCCATAAGTGAAACAGAAGAAACATTTTGTGTAAAATAATAATGAATAAGAAACATCACTTCCTTCATTCTAGGTCTCTAATCAACACAGTCATCCTGATCTTTGTAGTCCTATATTGGTTCTTCTTAGAAAAAAAAAAAAAAAAGTCAATCCCTGAATAATCTGGTCATGTTATCAGGTAAAATTTTTCTATTGGCCTTTACTGGGAATCATTTTATATTTTGAGTGAATGAGTAAAAGAGAATAAAAAAGAGAAAAAGACAAAGACATAAAAATAGAAGACTGACTAAAGACAACTTATCTTTAAATATGGAGAGCAATATCCAATTAATATTTTTATTATTTCAACTCTCAAAACCTATGAGGTTATAGTGAAAATTTGCTAGGTAAAACTCAGGTCTCATTGACCCCCAAATCTGCCCCAGGTAATTCATACACTTCTCTGTTATAATGGATAAGTTAATTATCTTTTACTTTAAGAGTTGGGTTTCTCTGTCTGTAAAATATAAATGGTAAGAATAAGTAAATACTTATGGTTGTATTTGTGAATAAATGAGATAGCATTAAAAAAAACTAGCCAGTATAAGGCATACATGCAGTACAGAATTCTTCACTGTGGTGGTAAACACATTTCCTGGAGCCTCCATTTTTACCCCACTATGTCATTAGACCATAATCAGGAAATATTAGGATACGATCTCATTATCTGATGCCATAGAGATAAGTAAAAACTGCCTGTGTTTGCTTCTATTTGGGGAATATATTTTTTAAGAAAAATCTCAAGACAGGAAGCCAAACTCTTTTAAAATTGACTAATACCTTAAAATGGAACTATTGAGCATTAAGTATGCTATCCAAATAATATAAAATAGACATTCATTTATTCACTTAACAAGTACATATTTTCTATTTGTTGAGTGCTTACTAGCTCTGAATCTATTCTAGATACTGGGACACCAGCATTGAACAAAATGAATGAAGTCTCTACTCTCATGGAGCTTGCTATCTTGTGGAAGAGATAAAAATAAATAAATAGATAGTAATGAGCTTTGAAGAAGATAATTCTAGTGAGAGTAGAAAGTGACAGGGGATGGTGGTGGTGGCTATTCTAGACAGGAGATAAGGAATGACTTCTCAGTGGAGGTGACATTTCTGCTGAGATATGGATAGTACAATAATTAGCCATGATACAGTACAAAAGTGCTTCTACAGAGAAAAGCAAGTACAAATTTTTAAGGCTATGAAAAACGCAGTGTTTTGTGAAACACAGAATAACCCAGTGTGGCTGGAGCATACTGAGTAAACTCTAGCATGGAGAGGAATGAGTACAGGAAAGTAGGCATAGGCCAAAATTATCTAGGACATCAAAGACCATGGTAAGGAGGCTTAATTTTATTCTAAGATAAGCAGGAAGCTATGAGATGCTCTAAGCAGGGAAGAAACATGATATGATTTACCTTATTAAAAATGATCTCTCTAATTGGCAGTATTGGGACAGAAGAAAAAATAAGGAGACTAGTTAGGAAACCATCATAATCCAAGTGAGAGATAACAAACTATGAAACTAGGGTGCTAGTGCTGGAAACTGAAAAATAATTGTATTTGGGATATATTTGGAAAGTACTGTTGAAATAATTTGAAGAAGGATCAAATTTGACCAAAACAGAGAAATCAAAAATGACTTCTAGGATTTGGCCTGAGCAACTGGATGAAAGGTGATAGTATCATGGAGTCAAAGAACAGGATGACTTTAGGAGTCATAAAGCTAAGAATTTGTTTTGGATTTGTTAGTCTAAACAGATTATTAAATCTCAAAGTTCAATTAATGAGTCTGAAGCTCAGGGAAGAGGTGACAGCTGAAAGTACCCATTTGGGAGTCACCAGCAAATAGATGATGTTTAAAACATTGGGACTGGATGAAATCACTCAGAGAGAGTATAATTAGAATTACGGTTAATATCTACATGTTAGGGAATTGCAACATTTAGAGGTTTAGAAGAAGAAAAGGAGTCAGCAAAAGAGAATGACAAGTTTCAGTGAGGTTGAAGGATAACAAGGGACGCCAACTGAAGAAAGTGTTTCAAGAAGGAAAAGATATTAACTACATTATTAGCTGCTCAGAAATGAATTAGCTTGAAAACACAGAGCTGAACCCTGGATTGGCATGATGGGAACTGATAATGCCCCTAGAAAGTGCTGTGTCAGTGGAGTAGTGGGTGTTAAACTCTGATTCATATGGGCTAGAGAAAGTAAGAAAATGGGGGAAAATAAGAACTCCTTAAGCTGTTTTGTTGAAAAAAAAAAAAAGGAACAACAAAATAGATAGATGTGGGGTCAAAGGGGTTTATTTTATAGTATGGGAGCTATCAGAGAATGTTTGTATGCAAATAGAGTACTTCAGTAGAAAGAGAAAATTGGTGAAATAGAGGAAAAAATTACAAGAATGATTACCTTGATTAGGTGGAGAGGGATAGGTAAACAAATATGAGAGAGTAGCCACAGATAGCAGCAGAGCAGTTCATCCATAGTAAGGGAAGAGTAGACTGAGTATCAGGTAAAGATGCAGGTAGTCTGATTTATTCCATGGTGAAAAGGTGATTTATTTCTCTTATAATTGTTTCTATTTTTTTCCGCAGTTAGTAAGGTATAGTTGGCATATAGTTGGGATACTCTACACATATACTACACTACACACTACATATAAGTGTACTATTTGTTATGTTTTGGCAAATGCATTCCTCAGTGAAGCCATCACGAAAATCAAGACTGTGAATAAATCTATCACTCCCACAAGTTTACTTATGACCCTTTATAATCTCTCCCTGCACTTCTGTGCCTCCATCTTTATTCTCCCCAGTCAGCCACTGATCAAATTTCTGTCACTATAAATTATTTTGTATTTTCTAGAGTTCTGTACAAATAGAACCATACGGTAAATATATGATTTGTCTGGCTTCTTGCTCTCAGCATAGTTCTTCTGAAAAATCATCCATGTTGTTGTATATATCTATAGTTCATTCCTTTATATTGCTTAGTAATATTCCGCTGTATGGATATAACATATTTGTTTACCTAATCACTTGTTGATAGATGTTTGGATTGTTTCCAGTTTTTTACTAGTACAAATAAAGCTACTATAAACGTCCCTATATAAATCTTTGTATACCTGTATACTAATTTTTCTCTCCTGGAAAAATTTATCTCGTCACTTAGAAGTGGACTAGATAAATCAGATGATAGATGTATTTTAACATTTAAAGAAATGAACAAACTGTTTTCCAAAACGGTTATGCCATTTTTATATTTCCATCAGCAGTATATGAGAGTTTCAGTTCCTCAACATTCTCCCCAATGATTGGTATGATCACGTTTGTTGATTTTAGTTATACTAATGGGTTTGTAGTGTTTTTTAATTTTGGTTTTAATTTGCATTTCCCTAATGATTGATAATATTGAGCATATATCTTTTTAATCTACCTATTTGGTAAAGTTCAAATATTTTGCCCATATTTTAAAAAATGAATGATTTCTTTCCTTACTATTGAGTTTTTAGAATTTTTTATATATTCTGGATGCAAGTCCTTCACTGGATATATTACTTGCAATAATGTTCTCTCAGTCTGTGGCTTGTCTTTTCATTGTCTTAACAGTGTTTTTTTAAAAAGCAGATGTTTTAAAATTTAAGTCTAATTCATCAAAGTATTATTTCATGTGTCGTATTTTTAACGTCATATCTATGGAATTTTGGGCTAACAGATGATCAAAAGGATTTTTTTGAGATTACGTAGTGTTAGCCACACAACTTTTTGTTTATCTTTTTCAGTAACTTTGGCAATTCTAGGTCCTTTGCACTTCCATATGATTTTAGAATAATCTTACCAGTTTTACAAAAAAAATCTGCTAGTATTTTTATTGGGATTGCATTGAATCTATAGATAATTTGGAAATAATTTATGTATAAACAATATTGAATCTTCCAATCTATAACAATTTAAATATTTCCATTCTTTTAGGCATTCTTTATAATCTCTCAGAAATGTTTTATAGTTTTATTTTACAAATCTCACAAAATCAATTACATTTCTATATGTGAGCAAAGTATATGGACTGTGTTGTCAAACTCACTAGTACTTGTAGCATTTTTTTTTTTTAGTTTTCATTGAATTTTCTACTTTGATGCTCATGACATCTATAGATAACAGCAATTTTACTTCTATTCCAATCTTAACACCTTCTATTTTTCTTGCCTGACTTCACTGTCTAGCACTTCCAGAAAATGTTGAGTAGAAGGGGTGCATGGAGATACATCTCTTGTTCTTATAAGGAAAGTATTTAGTCTTTCACCATGAAATAAGTTGTTAGCTATAAGTTTAAAGATGCCCTTTGCCGGGTTGAAGAAGTTCCCTTTCAATCCTAGTGTGTGAAGAGTTTGTTTGTTGGTTTGTTTTTTATAAGTGAATATTGAATTTTGTCAACTGCTTTTTCTTCATCTATTGAGATTATTATTACTTTTTCTTGTTAGTTTGTTAATATAGTGAATTGTATTATTTAGTATTTAAATAATAAATCAATTCTATGTTCCTTGGATAAACCCCACTTGATTATGATGTATTATCTTTTTAATATATTGTTGGATGTATGTTGAAATTATGTTTAGAATATTTATATTCATGAGAAATCTTGGTCTATAATTTTCCTTTCTTGTTATGTTTTTGGTTTTTATAGCAGAGCAATTTTGGAAAGCATTCTCTCCTTTTTAATTTTCTATATTATTTTCTGCCTAATTAGTATTTTTTTCTTTCGGGTAGAATTTACCAGTGAAATCATCTGGGTCTTGAGTTTCATTTTTGAAAAATTTTAAGACACAATTTAAATTTCTTTAATAAATAGAGAGCTATTAAAGCTATTTGTTACTAAGTGAGCCTAAGTACTACTTCTTTCATGTAATTTGTCTATTTCATCTATTTTTTTAATTTATAGGAATAAATTTGGTCACTACATTATTTCATTTTCCTTTTAATGCCTTTAAAATCTATAGTGTCATCTTTCTCATTCTTGGCAGTGACAATTTGTTTCTTCTCTATTTTTTACTTTCTCTGAACAACCTAACAAGAGGTTTACTTTTTTCTTAAAATAAACACATTTTGGTTGCACTGATTTTTTCTAATGTCTCTCAGTTTTTTTCTTTCATCTTTATTATCTATTTTTCTAATTACTTTGTGGAGTTTGTTCTTTTTTCTAGTTTTTTAAGTTGGAAGTCTAAGTGACTAATTTGACTTTCTATGTGAAAATTTGTGCTGTAAATTTTCCCTAAGAACTGCTTTAGCTGCTTCCTACAAATTCTGACATGTTGTGTTTTCATTCATTTAAATAATACTTTCTAATCTCCATTTGGATTTCTTCTTTGATTCATACTTTATTTAGAAGTGTGCTATTTAGTTTCCAAATATTTGGAGAGTTTTCTGAAATTGTATTGTCATTGATTTGAAAGGTAATTCCTTTGTGGTTTGAGAACAAACTTTTTATGAATGAAATCCTTCTGAATTTGTTGAGACTTGTTTTATGGTCCAGTATATCATCTGTCTTGATAAGTGTTCTATGGGCACATGAGAAGAAAGTACATACTGTTTTTTCAGATGGGATGTTTTATGAAGTCAATTAGGTCATATTGGTTGATAATATTGTTCAAATTATTATCTCCTTGTCGATTTTCTGTCAGTCTGTCCTATCAGACATTGCAAGAGTGAGACTGAAATCTGACTGTAATTGTGGATTTACTGATTTCACCTTACAGCTACATTTTTAATTCATGTGTTTAATGTTCTGTTATTAAATGCAGAAAATTTTAAGATTCTTCTATCATCTTGATTAATTTTCTTTTATCATTATGAAAGGACCTATTTTATTATCATTAGAATATCATTTGTTCTGAAATCCACTTTGATATTAATATAGTCACTTTAGTTGTATTTATTATGACTAGTAAAATACAGATTTTCCATTCTGCATTATTTTAGATTAATTGAATATTTTTATGACTATTTAATCTCCTTTGTTGGGTTATTTTTCGTGACTTCTTGTTTTTTTATTTTAATGGTTGATTTAGGTTTTAGAGTATACATATTTAATTTATTACAGTTTACCTTCAAATGATATATTGTCACTTTACATATAGTATAAGAACCTTGCAGCAGTGTACTTCCATTTCTCCCCTTCTGACCTTCATACTTTTATTGTTATATATGTTGCACTTAGATGCCATATACCCCAAAATACATTGTTATTTTTGTTTAATCAGTCATTACCTTTAAAATGAGACATGTAAGAAATATAAGAAAAATCTTAAGAGGAAAAAAAACTTACATATTTACTTATGTAGTTAAAATTGTCTATATTCTTCATTCCTTTGTGTAGACCCTTATTTCAATCTGGTATTATTTTCTTACTTCCTGAAGGGCTTCCTTTACTATTTTGGAGTGCAAGTATGTTGCTGACGAATGCTTTTAGCTTTGTTCATCTGAGATTTTTTATTTTACTTTTGTTTTGAAAATGTATTTTCACTGTGTCTAAAATTTTAGGTTGTCAGAATTTTTTTTTCCTTCAGTAATTAGAAAATAGTGCTTTTCTGGCTTCTTGCTTGCATTATTTCCAACAACAACAAAAAATCTGCTGTCATCCTATTCTTTGTTCCTTTGTTGGTAATATGTCTTTTTATCTGACTGCATTTATGATTTTCTCTTTCTCACTGGTTTTGATCAATTTTTTAATGATGTTTGTTGGTATAATTTTCTTTACATTTCTTTTCTTGTGCTCGGGGTTCATTAAACTTTTTAGATCTGTAGGTTTACAGTTTCCATAAAATTGGAAAAATTTTCAGCCACAACATCTTCAAATATCTCCCACCCACTCATCTTTAAGGTTTCAAATTGCATGTTTATTTTCTCACTTAAAGTTGTCTCGCAGCTTTCAGAAGTCATTTTCAGTTTTAAAAACTGTTTTCTTCTGTATGTTTCCTTTTGGATAGTTTCTGTTGCTATTTTTTATTCAATTTCACTAACTCTAACTTCTACAAAGTCTGATCTGCCACTAATCTCATCTACTATAATTTTTATGTCAGATATTTTAGCTTTCATTCATAAAAGTTTGGTTTGGGTGTCTTGTTTGGTTAACGGTCATTTTATACACTTCATGTCTCCCCTTAACTTTCTTAAACTTATAAAATAATCACAATAACTGTTTAAATATTTTTGTCTGCCATTCTAATGTCTATGTCAGTTCTGGGTCAGTTTTGATAAATTGATTATTCATTATTTATTTTGCTTTCCTGCTTCTTTGTATGCCTTGTAATCTTTTACTGGATGCTAGACATTGTTCGTTTTATCTTGTTGCATGCTGAATATTTTGTATTCCTATAAGTATTCATGAGTTTTACATTGGAATAAAATTATGTTACTTGGAAACAATTTGATCCTTTTAGATATTCTATTACAATTTTTAAGGCAGATATAGAACAGTGCTTAGTCTAGGGCTAATTATTCCTCACTACTGAATCGAGACCTTCCTGAGTCATCTTTGGAGTGTCCCATGAATTTTGAGTTTTTCCAGTCTAGCTGGTGGAATCGGGCATTATTCTCAAAGGTGTGTGATCCTTGGCATGGTTTCCTTCAATCCCTTCTGTTTGATTCTTTCTCTGGCCTTGGGTTGTTTCTTCACATGCAAGTTCTCATCATTGATACTGGATATTTTTTGTAGCTCTCTGGGGCTCTCTCTTCATGCAGATCGCTTTTTTTCTGGAACTTCAGCCTGGAAAATCTACCTACCTTAATCTCTCCAGACTCTCAGCTCTGTGTGCTCAATGCAGGGAGTATGCTGGTTTCTGCCTGGATTCCCTTGTGTTTTCTCTCCCTGTAGCAGTCCAGCCATCTCTCAAGGCAGTAAACTGTGTCAATAGTAGGGCTTACCTCACTGATTTCCAGTTTCTCACTGTCCTGTGCTGCTAGATTCATTACATTCTTTTGAAATTTTTTAAAAAATATATTTTGCCTGTTTCTTAGTTATTTGGGTCTGGAAAGTAAAGCTGGTCTCCATTATTTCATCTTGGCCAGAGACAGAAGTCCCATTTTATTTGTTTTGTTTTGTGTTTGTCAGTGGAATAAAAGCCAGGTCATCAGCTGAGAATTAGAGGAAGTGGAGGTCTTGAGGTTTAACAAGAGTAGTAAAGATATGAAATAGTTATCTTGGAGAGTAGTGAATAAATTGACTCCTAAAGCTATTAAAATTTCTAGGCATTTCTTGTAGAATTACTTAGCTTCAAAATAAGGGGTTTTGTGGAAATAATTAAAAGATAAATATATATAGATTACAACAACCTGACTCTCTCATGATACCTATCTTTATTTTTTAATCTGAAGCCCAGTACTCGGCCTTGCATGTCCAATTTCACTCAAAGTTTAAATGAAAACAGACTTAATGACTTCAATTACTTAAAAAACAAATGCTTTTAGATGTCAGTATTTAAAGGAAAAAGTCAAGGGAGGTGATAGTTTTAACAAATATTTTATGATAAAAATAGAACTTCAACTATTTGGGTTACTAACGTAAAGGAAGTATTAAATAAAATGGATGCTAAGTTTATTATAAAAAACTGATGTATATTGTTTTCTATTCAGCTTCTTTGCCTTTCTGTAATGCAGGCTGAATTCTGTAAGAAATATGTTAACTCTTAACTGTCGCACATAATATTGATCTTTTTTTTGCAAGATTTATCTCTATCCTGTCTTTACAATATCTTTTGATCAATTTATTTTGTGATTTCCCTATGAATTGCTTTTATTTTATCCAGACACTAAGTATATTAACACAGCAACCTATATTAGCCCTCGATTTACAGTTTCTTTGTTTTAGTGTCATTTGTAGTATTTGTAGACAACATTTTCACTTTGAGTTATTTATTTTATACCACTGAATTAAAGGAAAAAAATTGAACTTGAGAAAGTGGGTGTAAGACTGTCACATCTTGTTTTTTCGTAATTGTTTTCAACATATGTAATACATATTCACTAATTTTGTATAGGGACTGATACCTTTATTTTTTTCTAAATTTTCTAAACTTCTTATGTATTTATTTTTAACTGACAAATTATTATTGCATGTATTTATGGGTACAACATGGTATTATGATATAGCTACACAATATGGAATAATTAAAGCAAGCTAATTAACATACCCATTACCTCACCTACTTATTTTTTGTGGTGAAAGCATTTGAAATTTACTATCTTAGCCATTTTGAAATATGAGATACCTTAATGAGAGGTGACAGCGTGCTGGCAGTCCTCACAGCCCTCGCTGGCTCTAGGTGCCTCATCTGCCTGGGCTCCCACTTTGGCGGCACTTGAGGAGCCCTTCAGCCCACCGTTGCACCATGGGAACCCCTTTCTGGGCTGGCCAAGGCCAGCCGGAGCGGGCTCCCTCAGCTTGCAGGGAGGTGTGGAGGGAGAGGCGCGAGCGGGAACCGCGGCTGCGCCCGGCGCTTGCGGGCCAGCTGGAGTTCCGGGTGGGCGTGGGCTTGGCGGGTGCCGCACTCGGAGCAGCCGGCCGGCCCTGCCGCCCCGGGCAATGGGGGCTTAGCACCCGGGCCAGTGGCTGCGGAGGGTGTACTGGGTCCCCCAGCAGTGCCAGCCCACCGGCGCTGCGCTCGATTTCTCACCGGTTCTTAGCTGCCTTCCGGCGGGGCAGGGCTCGGGACCTGCAGCCTGCCATGCCTGAGCCTCCCACCCCCTCCATGGGCTCCTGTGCGGCAGGAGCCTCCCCGATGAGCGCCGCCCCCTGCTCCACGGTGCCCAGTCCCATCGACCACCCAAGGGCTGAGGAGTATGGGCCCACGGCGAGGGACTGGCAGGCAGCTCCACCTGCAGCCCCAGTGTGGGATCCACTGGGTGAAGCCAGCTGGGCTCCTGAGTCTGGTGGGGAGGTAGAGAACCTTTATGTCTAGCCCAGGGATTGTAAATACACAAATCGGCACTACGTATCTAGTTCAAGGTTTGTAAACACACCAATCAGCACCCTGTGTCTAGCTCAGGGTTTGTGAATGCACCAATCAACACTCAGTATCTAGCTACTCTGGTGGGGCCTTGGAGAACCTTTATGTCCAGCTCAGGGACTGTAAATACACCAATCGGCACTCTGTATCTAGCTCAAGGTTTGTAAATACACCAATCAGCACCCTGTGTCTAGCTCAGGGTTTGTGAATGCACCAATCGACACTCTGTATCTAGCTAATCTGGTGGGGACCTGGAGAACCTTTGTGTCTAGCTCAGGGATTGTAAATGCACCAATCAGCGCCCTGTCAAAACAGACCACTCGGCTCTACCAATCAGCAGGATGTGGGTGGGGCCAGATAAGAGAATAAAAGCAGGCTGACAGAGCCAGCAGTGGCAACCCGCTGGGGTCCCCTTCCACACTGTGGAGGCTTTATTCTTTTGCTCTTTGCAATAAATCTTGCTACTGCTCACTCTTTGTGTCCACACTGCTTTTATGAGCTGTAACCCTCACCGCGAAGGTCTGCAGCTTCACTCCTGAGCCAGCGAGACCACGAACCCACCAGAAAGAAGAAACTCCGAGCACATAGGAACATCAGAAGGAACAAACTCCAGACGGCGCCACCTTAAGAGGTGTAACACTCACCGCGAGGGTCTGTGGCTTCATTCTTGAAGTCAGTGAGACCAAGAACCCACCAATTCTGGACACATTAACATACATTATTATTAACTATAGTGTGGTCATCATGCTATGCAATAAATCTCAAAAACTTATTCCTCCTGTATAATTCAAATTTTGTTTCCTTTGATGGATGGCTCCTTACTTTCATCCCTTCCAACTCGGGTAACCACCATTCTACTTTCTACTTACATGAGTTCAACTATTTTACATTCCACATGAAAGTGGAATTTTCCAAATTCTATTATGTCAAGGCAGACCAGTGATGAAAGCAACAACAAGTAATATCATAATGTATAATTCCTGACATTATGAAAAAATATTTTTTGTTATTAAAACAAGATTTATGCAAATGAAATAAAAGGAAGATTATCTAAAAACTAAAACAATCTACTTGCTGGATTATTTTAACAGATGATAAAATTTTTAGATATTCAGAAGAAAATAATTGTGAAATGGAAAAGGACAGCTGCATTATAGACATGCTAGTGAGAAAAAATAAGTATAATATAAAAATCATGGAGAGGTAGTAAGCAGAAGAAAAGGCATTGGGGCAATGAGGTGGAAAGACCCATTGTTACCTGGAGGGGCATGGCTTGTGGGAAGGTTAGTTCAGCTGGAATACAGAGTTTGGATTGGGAAAAGGTAAGAGTAAAGGTGAATTTAGATAAGATTGTAAAAATCCTTAAACTCTGGGCTAATGCAAGCTTCAGACTGTTTCAGATGATGTGTGACTGGCCTGCCAAGGGCTCTTCCAAGAATTAGTGGGTGAAAGAAAATTACTTCTTTTTCAAAGTAACAGCAAGTCATTAATTTATGCTCAGGGGCAGCCAGAAGTCCCAGTTTGGTTAGTCTTGCCAACTTAAAAGTATTAGCCCAACTTGGTCCCTCCAAGCTCACCATGTGATATTTACTTCCCTGAATTCCACAAATTATCTATTAAATATATTATTTACAGGCATCTTGATTTAATCTAGGACTAGATGGACCTCAAAGAAAGAATTTTCCTTTCTTCCTAAATGTTCACCTCTATTACACTGAAGAGTTTTATCTGACCATTTTGTTTGTTTTTAAAATATTTCTCTGCTATGATTATTTCTTACATTGTGGCACAATCTAAGAGCTGTGCATATATTGAAGAAGAACAAAGCAACCCAGTGATTGGGGAGCAAGCCCAGTATATGCTATAATTTTCTGCTCTGAAGAGATAAACTGATCAATGACATGCTACGGTGATTTTGCCAGATAGTGTGTTTGTTGTTTTGGCTTTAGCACATTTAAACTAGCAATGGTTCAATAAAAAGGGGTCATGTTAAGAATTTTCTTACCAACTATAAAGTTCCTTGTTGGTTGCCTAGATAGTTTTCCCCCCCGGAAATCTGTGCTCAAAAGGGAAATTTCTGAACTCAAGAGAACACTCTTTCATTTGAAATACTATGAAGCAGCCCACAACACAGTGACTGAAACATCAAGAAAATGTAAACATCTTTATGGTGGTGGAATTCCCTAAATGCAGTGCAAGGCTCTTCTGATACAAAACAGCTGTTTCATCTGTATCTACAACCAGGCACAAGAAGAAAGGCTGCTTCAGACACCTAAGTCATTTCAAATCAGTTTAAAGCATCTTTGGCGCCCTTAAATATTAATGAAAGTCAACAATCAGTGAAGACTTTGCCCTACAGGGACTGTCACTGGTCAGCTTCTTGCTGTTTGTTTCTGAGTTAATCAAATTACTGTATCATTGGTGCAGTTGTACCCTTCATCATTAATGATCAGTGTCTGAAAGAAAGAGGATGTTCTTGGCATAATGGCACATTAATCCTGTGGGAGATTGGAGCGGGATTACTCTTTTGCCCAGATTGCCCTCATGTGTGAGGTAGAGGTATAGATGAAGATCGGTGGCGGAAATCAATTTAATAAGTCTAAAAGACAGTTCGGGTTACGTTATCAGCCAGACAGGAAATACACATGCAAAGAAGAAAAAGAAGCTATGAAAGGAAGAGTGTAATGATGTTAATTTCTTAATTTGTTTCCTCTGATGTAGGATCTAGACATTAGTATCATTGTCAGTACGTGTGCAAGTCACTTCAGAAAAATCACTCCTGCAGTAGAGCTAATTGTTATCAAAATGTAAAATGTGTTCTGGGTGTTACTGATACTACCTATTTGTACTTGGCAAAACATATATTTTTTTCCAGCATCAAAATGGTTAAAATGAAGAAGCCAGGTTATTACACATTTCAATTCCAGAGTCAAATATAAAAATTTCTATTATAGGGACAATTAATTACATCTCAAAATGGCAAATGTGCATCCTTGTCAGGTAGAGTGTACTCTGATGGCCTTTCCTCAAACACTGAATGTGGAGATTTGATCTCTTCTAATGGTGCTGAGAAAAGGGTAATTACGCTATGGTCAAAGCTAATTTGCTTTCTGCCAGATGAACTGTTGTATTTTATTGTACGCTGACATTTTAAAGTAATTACGGCACTGTTGACCTTAGACAATTCCAGTTGTATCGCTGTCTACAGCTGCAGCGCTTGGTCTACCTTTGGCTGGCAGACAGTGGCTGTAACGAGGTAATGACACGGACAAAGAGCACCATATGGGGCTCCTTTGAGATACACAAAGCCCAGTGAAAGGAAACAAGAAAATTTTAACATCATCATTACAGTCACACATCTTTACAGCTATAAAGGGTCCTGTCCACGCGTGCTTGTGCGCGTGCACATACACACACAGGCACACAAATAATCTAAACACTTTGCCTGCTTGTACCTTAGGTGTGTGTGTGGGTGTGTTTGCACATGTTTGAGTGTGTGTGTGTGCATGTGCGTGTGTGTGTGTGTTTCTTTTGTAAATGGCAGCATGCATCAAGAAGAAAAAGAGGTCAGGTAGAACTGAACGTGACGGACTGGTCTTCCACTGACAGGAGTTCAAAGGCTAAAGACTATTGATTGAGATAAAAGCCCAGGTTCTTAACTAATGTTAAAGACACTCCTTGTTGTCTGAAAGCTGTGCACATAATTAGGCAGAAAGAAGAGCACTTCAGCCAGCAAATCACTATAAACCAAGCCTCATTAAAATAGATATTAGTTCATTTAAAGAAAGAAGTTATTATTCATTCATATATTTTAATGAGCTATCAGGCTGTCTTTTCTATGATAAGAAAAAAAAAAAACATGTTCAGAGTTTGGCCTGGTTAATGTATCCTTGCAAAGATAGCAAAATAGATTAATATCACTCAAAAAGAATAATGCTTCATCTTCTTCAAGGAAAAATGCACAGGATATTGAACTATAGAATTATTGTCAAGAAGAGGTGGGAAAAAACTGAGCTTTACCATCATGTTAAATATTTCAATCTATTTGGGTAGGTGGAAATGGACTATGGAAATGTGAGCTCACTTACAATAAGCCATGGAGGTTGCCTCCATCATAGCTTATTGCCTACTTATGTGACAATTACATGAAGCAAAGGAAAGTCAATGTATTTCCTTTTGAATTACATTTCTATCATTCAGGGTTTCCCCCTTAGTAATTATTGGAAGGGTGCATGAGTTATTATTTCATTGAGTAAAAAGATAATAAAAATTACATTACAGAGATGGTAGGGTTTCCTGTAGAGTCCTTAATTTAGTTTAAACTGTGAGGACTGTTTTTCTCCTAAATTTGTTTCCTAGTTTGTTTGTTTGTTTGTTTTTCATGAATATTTGGAGATCTCTATGCCAATAGTTTTTGGCCTTTTTAAAGGCAAAGTTCATTTGACAAAGTTACTTAACATTTCACCTTCAAAATTGGAATTACGTGGAATTGAAATATCTGTGAAAATGATCATTTATGAAATGTTCGTTTGGGTGATATATCATTTAAAATTTACCTTATTTTTAATCCCAGTAAGAAAGAAGTTCTAGAGTAGATGCACTAAACCCTGTTTAAGTTGTGTTTTATTTTACCTTTAAAACTTAGGATAAACTGATTGACCTATACTACATTCATTGTAAAGTGCTGAGGAAAATAGTAATGCTTTACAATATCCTCCTTTAGCTATTAAATTCCATGTGACACTCCTATTATTATTAAAATGACTTAACTATTCTGCACTATAATTTAGAAATAAATACCTCCACTCAAAATCATATATTAAGAAATAGCTAACCAACCCATTTTAGATATGGAGGAGTAACAATAAGAAAGCATTCTAAGTGTATGAAGTGGTACACTAAGAAACTTAAAACTCCAATACTTTTGGTCTTTGTGGATTCAAACCTGAGTCCAACAATAAGAAACATAGCTGGAAATATAAAGAGCCAGGCTATTTGTATTCTAATTTTTGGTTTTTAGATACAGTACCTCACACCTAGTAGCTCTTCATTTTGTCTGTAAATATCATGGATTTAAAACCTTCACTGTATTTATTAATGAGCTAAATAGCATAGAAGCCTACCATTTAATACTTTTGGAAACCACCCCCCCACCCCCGCTAAATATTTATTTCTTCAGGAGTATACATAGTGCTGTAGAATTGGTATTTTTACAGTCTAATTTTATCTGCTCTCCAAGTCCTAAAAGGTAAAGAAAAGATAAAGAGGGAAAAGAAGAGTTTCCTAGAGATGCATTTAAAGAAGAAAAAGCAACAGGAAAGAAAACTCTTGGTCATATTTTTCAAAGAGGAATGGAGTGAGAGAGAAACATGAGGCCAGAGTAATCACAGAAACAGAAAACGAATTCTGATAGATTGAGAGTGAGTGGGAGAAAGAAAGAGAGTGACAAGAAGTAAGAAATCACTTCCTTGAATTAAGAGTGAGCGATGTAGTTGGAGAAGCAGAGAGACAGATAGATGGAGTTTTCTGCACAGATAAGGAGAGAGCTACACCTTGGAAGCAGAGAGACTGTAAAAGCACATTGCATAATAAAGAGGGCACATTGCATGCAAAAAGGAACATTCATGGTGCTATCTGTGACTTGAACCCATAAAAATCTCAGTTATTTTGAAGCTGATAGAATACTAACAAAAATAATTGAATGAAAGAAGCAAAGAAAATAAAAAGAAAAGACATGTAATGGCTCCAAGTTCTAATCCTCACTACTGATTTTTTACTGTTATTTATACAAATCTCAAGATAACATGCCAACATCAATTCTTCTATTCTTTTCTATAAAATGGGATAGGCAAGGAAGCTTTGAAAAATTCTGAAATAGCTGCTAGACTGGCACTTTAATACAACATCTCATTAATTCTGCTGATTATTTAAGAAATCAGAATTTTTTCAAAGGTGACAGAGAGGTATGTCTTGCCTGTGTAATGAAGGTTGTAAAACAAAACCAGAATTGGCAACGAGAAGAACAGCTTTCTGGAAGGTGGACATTTTAGAGCAGGTACTTAAAAGTCTTTGGAAAAGTTTTAGGGATGTGATGGAAGCAAAACGATTCTCCCCACTCTACTGAAAATGAGCTAGTTTTCCATGCAAAGCTATTTTGGGCCATAAAAAGACAGTAACTCTAATCAAGTATATAGATTCATTAAGGACCATACTAGATCGAGGTCAAATATGTGACCCTCCAATCTGGGCACACTTAGCTGAGGCAATACTATCTCATCATTACTATCTTGAATTTATTGTCCATGAAATAGGCTGTTGCCTGCTTTTCTATCAAAACAAATATAAAGACTAATCCAGCACGTAAAAATGTAAGTCAGACTACTGAATCTTTTTAGCTGGGCTGGATATACTGCAGAGCAAAAGAAGTCTGCATAACATTGTTTTAATATTGCCCTTAAAATAACGTATTTTTTCTCCTAAGGACCCACTGCATACAGTGACTTTCATTAATTTCAGGATGTGGAAACCAATCTTTGTGTATCTGCCTTTCCTTAAATGTTGTCTGTGTAGGAAAGTTTTAAAAAGCATCAGTATTTTGCCTATCCAGATCAAAATTGGAGCTAAAAACAAGGACATGGAGTTCTGAGGAAAATATAAACGATCAAAAAAACAATATTTTCGAAGAGAATGAGTGCAAAAGTGGATATAAATGATTTGGAGAAAATTTTTAGCACATCTTAAAAAGAAATATTTATTATTTTTTCATAAAGGTTTAAGATCAACAATCCTCTTATCAAGGAGACTTCTTTAGACCAGTGATGGTTAAAAATTAATTTGACACTGATTTAATTAAAATATTAGGTTTACAGATTTAACATTTTCAGATATAATGTCTTCATAAGGCACTTATATAGGGGTAAAAAAGAGAAGTAATTTAAGATTAGTAGAACATTAATTTAATTAAACCAAATCTTTAATTATTCTTAATTTTCTTTTTTGTAGGAAGTTTGGCCTTTAGTAAAAACTTTTTGCCTTTTGTATCACAGGTAAACATTTCTTGCTATAATTCAGACAGCTGCAATTTGCAATTGTGCCAGAAAACTGTTCTGGTATTACCTAATAGCTGGCTGCTATTAGATAATGTATTTTACATAGATTAGCCTAAATTAAGATCAGGAAGAACATCTTTTTTCCATTTTATTATTTTTTTCATTTTCTGAATGATGAGTAACTGTCAGTGTGTGGACACCTCTTTTCAAGGAATGTGTGAAGCTGTCACCCTGCTATATCGGCAGGACAATCCAGATGTTACACAATATTAAATCTGGGGCTCAGCATCATGATGATTGTCAACTGAGAACAACCTAATCATATGCCTGAGTCTTGGTAAAATGACAATTTTTGGAGAGTTGAAGGATGCCAATAGCTTTTAATATTTCAAACCAATATCTTTCTCGTGTTAAGTTTGCAATATTTTCTCCTAGGATAATATTAAAAATACTTAAAAATCTATTTTGGAAGAGAATTGGCTATAACTTGTGATCAGATTTAATTAGTACTTACAGAAAAAGAATTCTTGTATTTCCGAGGTTTTCTCTTATCATAGCTATCGAGTCTGAGGAATTCTGATCTGAGGACAATGTACGTGCCACACTGGCATCAGAACCTGTTTATGCAGGTAATGGCTGGTTTAGGATACCTCTGAACTGTCACGTACCATTTGAATTAATGAGGCCATACAGGTCTAAGGTCTTGAAAAAGGCCTCTCTAGATTAGGGTCTATTAAACCTGCCACAAGCTGCTTAGTGTTTTAAAAGTGACAACAGAGGCTCTTTGGTTTAGCATTCTTTTCTTTTCTTTTTTTTTTTTTTTTTTAATATTGAAAAAAATAGTTTCCCATTCTATAGTAAACACTCTACTAACTTACAAGAATTTGCATTCTTATAGGATGAAATTCCTACAGATTTATTAGACACTCAACAAATCTTTTAAGAACATCAAAACTCCAAACAAGAAAATATCAAAAATAAAAATTAGGTAGAAAAGCACATTTAAGAAACTGCATGGTAACTTAGTAAATGAGGCAGTTAATATCTTGTTTTATATTAAAAGCAGCTAAATTTTAGCAAATTAAAATAGTAGAAGCCTTAAACAAAGTGGCCTGTTTAATCAGGGATAAGCAGGAGCATTATCCATTATCTCTATTTAGTCAGAATTCAATATTTAGTTGGAAGACTAAAATATCATGGTACATTCATATGAAAAACACAAACATCAACAAATAAAGAAATGATAATTAGCATTCTTTAAAGAGCACTGAAGTTAATATCATTCTCCTGATGATAACTTTATTGTCACAATATTGGCTTTATAGTTTGGTGTGCATTCTTTGTTTGCTTTCTGTATGATTTCAAAACTCTCTTAAATGACTACAGTTTCTCTGAACCATGAATATTATTTCATTAATAGACTTCTGTTTTTGCTTAGGAAAATTTGAGTGTAAAATCAATTTAGTGTTCTCAAACCTATTAGGTGCTTAGCCTTTAATTTGCTGCACATTAACATTAAATGGTCAAAATATGAGGTTATTTTTGGAGTGATTATTATGATGGTGATAAGGCCTGACACTTGCGCCACTTCAAACACGCAACCACCAACAGTTCCATTACAACAAAAGAGCTCCCAGCATAACACATTTTAATAGTCAGAAGAGTTGTGAATTCACAGCTTTGCACAGCAGGTGTGGCTGCACATCTTTGCACCCCTAAATACACTTGCTCATCTAATCTGACAGATTAGACAATGGCACAAAACCCCCATCACCGATGTCTAAACAAAGACTTCATTTCAGAAGAGACAAAGCTTCATGCAGACTGTGTTGCCACTAATAACTTTTCTAAGCGGAAAACAATGTACATTTTACTAATGAAAAACAAATTGCAGCAGGGAAGATGAATGTCTTGGCTTTTCTGACATTTTAAATAATCTGCCCTCCCTTCCCTTTTGTGCCTTTAATATTTACCTTCATATCAATCTTTGTGTAATTTTGTTAATTGGCCATGGTGCTGACATCAGAAAAATGGAAAGCATCACAATCACAGTCCAGGACCTTAAAACCCATGTTGTAAGGGAAAAACAATTTTGCTATTCTTTATAAGCAAAATACATGAGAAAGCAGTACCTTTCATTAGAACCAGAGGTAAGCTGGACTTTGGGGTGCCCACACTACAGTGAAAATACACTCAAAAGGGCTGTAACCTGATTTTCTATGCAATGTCATCACAGCTGAACATTAAAAGTGAGACTGGAGATGTGCATATTTACCATCAGGAACTGGACTGAGCATTAATGGGCTCCGGAGGCTTATTTGGAGGCAGTTGCACTTATCATGAATCAGGAAAAGGAAATAGCAGCCCTGGTGTGCTGTAGGTCAGTCAGAAATGTCGACTTGAGAGATTCATAAATCTCTGGCATGACTTCAGCCACTGACTTTCAGAACCTCCTTCTAGCGTTTTCCTATAATTTAAAGATTATGTAAGGTATATCGTGAGTGTGTTCGATGAAAATATTAATTTAGAGATAAATCCTGTAAGTGCTCTGAAGCCACGGCTTCTGCCGTGCAGTTACACTTCAAACAGGACAGGCTGCTAGTTTTGTCAACAGTAGGAGGTCATGGAAGGCTGCCAAAGAAAACAAACCTTTTTCAGTAAAATACTTTCAGTTCTAAGTAGTCACAGAATATCTCTTGTACTGTTTTATTGCTGATATTTAAACTTTGATAGATTGTCTTTTGCTGACAATTTCTTGAGTCAGAAATCTTAATCATAAAATGAAGTGTGGAACATACACTAGTGAGACAATTAATCACAGCAAAGTCTGTCTGGCAAGTTCAAGTAATTTTCTGGTGTTTTTGCTTTGGCGCCAAGAGGGGAGGGGTATGGCAGGAGGGAGTGGTAAAAGTTATAGGGTAAACTATTTCTCTGTCGTTTTTGTTGTTGTTGTTCCCTGAAAGACTGATGACGTATTTTAGTAAGGAAAATCCTGAGCCTTTGAGAAAAATGACAGAATTTTTCCATTGAAGAAATAGTTTTATTAATAATTATAATAAGGTGCAATGTCATTTTCATTTATCAATATGGTATAATTGATCCTAAAATAAAAGTATTCTGCATCTGCCTCTTTGTGTAATTGGATACAAAATTTAAAATATGAGAGGAAACATGCAATGTATATTCAGATTTGTCATACACTTAATAACCTAAATTGGAAATTAATGCATTTGAAAATATTGCCCAGGTAAAGAATGGTGAAATTTGATGTAATTGATTTCCAAAACCGCCTCTCACATTTAAGGCAAGCATTCTGCTGGATAATCAGTTACTGCAATTTTCATTTGCATTCTCTGACTCTCTTTGATTTGCAAAGATACCTCTTTTGAAAATAAAAATCCATTAATGGCCTTCCATCCTGTGGTTAGAAAATAAAACACATGGTGACTATAGTTATAAACACCAAATTCTATTAAATGGGTACAGGGTACTAGTAAGTACATATTCTGTTTTCATCATTGTTCATAATGAGATATTTGTTTGACTTTTTTTTTTTACCTGTTAGTATTATTCAAGCCCTAAAGATATATAAGAATACATGCAAATTTAAAATAATATAAATGAGGATTTCACATATTCTTAATGATATTCTGGAGTTGTAAAATATAATTAACATCATAGAGTGCCTGGAGTACCCAGGCAGAAACCAAATGAGAATTTAAGTCTCAGTATTACAAGAGTGTTGATGCAAAACTCATAGTTCTCTCTCTCTCTCTCTTTCTCTCTTTCTCTCTCACTCCTTATTTTTTCAGACTACAGTTTAAGTGTTTTAATACTTATCTTGGTATCTTGACTGGTTTTTAAAGTAACCTGTTCATGGAGAACTCTGACACCTCTGTGCAGGCATTATCAGCACAGCGCTATCTGTAAGCTATGCATGGCCACCTTTATTGTTTTACTGTTTTAAAAGCTATGTTCCACTTTCAAATTACATTAAGAATATAAATTTCAACCTCAAAATTATGATTCTGTACAACAGAGGTAGAATGTATGCTTTGTAGCACAGGATCCCTTTTATTTAATATTAAGCATTCATCCTCTCACATTTTTCTATTTTTGAAAACCATTTGAAATGAATAGACATACACCATAGGATTCTAGACCCTGTAGAATCCTAGGGCCTGTGGCAGACTGAAGCCTAGCAGCCTCTTGTACAGACACTGCCAGCAGAATATTTGAAGTTGATGCAGCTTAGGAAGAGGCTGATCTTCACAGAAAAGCCAGAATTTCTATAAAAAAAAAGTTTTTAAAGGTATTTTACCCCTAATCATAGACAAGCATTAAAGATCTTAAAACATGACTGTGATCAGGCATTTTTTTTTTCTGGCATACTTTTTAAGTGAAGACTAGTGTCTGCACAATTTAGGATGAAGGCTTGACGTTCTCATACATCCCATATAGTCTCCTTTTGAAAGCTATCATCTATATGATGTTCCTGAGTACCAGCCTGTTCTATTCATTAATATTGCTAACATTAATGGAAAAGCACAAAGATTATTCTGAATTGATGTGAAAAATGCCTGGTCCTAGCTGTCTTATGGCTTGACTGAGATTGGCCATCATGTATCCAGAATCATCCCTTCATATTAGTCTACTGACAAACCCTCACTCTTTCTTCTACCTTTTTATAAGTATCATTGCTTACTTCTAACCACACGTGGAAAAAAAAAAAGGTTATCACTAGGTATTAAGGAAACAGAAACAATGAGAGATATAACATTCCTAACTATTGGTTTCCTTTAACAGAATTGGTTTAGAATTTTAATTTAAGTTCTAGCTGTGAATTAACTCTACTTAGAATTTCACCATTTGGTCAGCACAAGATATTTAATATAAAGTTCCAATACCATTTATTTAGCATTAAAGATATTGATTTCACAAACCGGAACTGAATTTCTAATTGTTTACTATTAGGAAATATTACATTGATGTGATAGAAAATAGATTTTTTGGATATTTCCCTTAATACAGCTATAATACCAAAAATCTCCACTGTAAAGATTTTGCAGTTGTTAATTTGGTGGATAATTAGCATTCTATGATTGCTATCATGTGACAGAACAAATATTGGGCCAGAAAGAAAGAGATACCAGAAGGGAAAACTACGTGTGAGAATTTGGGGATATGGCTGGCATAATCAGAAAACAAGGAAGTTTATTTATCTGCTCATACCTGCGAATAAAAATCAATAATTTCTGCTGCCATCCTATCACATAGATGAATATTTCTTCATATAGTAAATAGTTGTAGCTCATTAATTAGAGTTCAGGTATTATTTTCTCTGCTGAGGTCAGCAAGCTAAGTAAGATATAGTCCTTGTCCTCAAGAGAAACTTAGAGTTTAACCAGGAAAATTCACAGCAGTTCCTGGAGTCCCACTAAAGCATTTATAACCCTCTGTCGTCATGGTCTGCAATCCCAATCAGGTCCACAAGGCTGCCTGAAAGTTCTTTGATTTTTCTGGTCAGCTCTCTCACCCATTCTTTACAACAAATGTTTCAAACTCAGTCCCCTCTCTCCAAACCATTTACCCTAACCCCAATCCCTCAGCCTCAGGATATAACCTTTACTACCACTCAGTAAGGAAAATAAAGGTCATGAAGAGTCAACTCCTTTCACTCGCTGACATTTGGCAGATACCTATGCCAAGTCCTTTCCCCTCTCTCCTGCCACTTTCATTACTCGACCAAAATTGCTGTCACCAGGGCTGCACATGGATAGGGTTTAGTCTTTCTCTTATTTGACCTCTGTGTAAGTTGTCACTTGCACGGACTCCATTGTTATCAGAACATATTCTTCCCCTTGCCTCCCCCTTTCTCCCAGGCTTTTCTAAGTGCTATACTTTTTCTCAAACTGCTTTGCACATTCCTTCTCTGGGAACTTTGCCTGGTTGCTTTCCTTTGCTTGTCTCTTAAATACAGATTTTTTAAAGTGTTTCTATCTTTAAAATGTATGAAAGAATTATTATAAAGCCTGGCATAGCAAGAGTGATCAAGATTTTTGTTTGTTTGTTTGTTTGTTTGTCAGGGCCTAAACAGATTTTTTAAAAATCCTGTCACTTTTTCCTCGTATTTTTCACTATATTTCAGGCAGCCACAATATTCAGTTAATGACCATTGTGTACAAAGCATCAAATTATGGAAGGACTTTCATCCCTGTCTACAAGATTAACTCTTTTCTGTGCATTAAGTGAGGCTCACATTAACCCTTTGCAATCATTATTAGCATGCAGGAGTTCCCACCTGTTGTGCAACACATCAACTTTTGATTTAGTACCATTATGGATCATAGTCTGTGCTCTCTCTATATACTTTTTCATAAACCTTCCCAAGTATTATGACATGAGTACATCCAAACCCCTCAGTACCAAAGTTACTACCTCAAGAATTTGTGTAGATGCTTTGGAAACCATTGGCCCCTAAAGTTTTCTATAAAAACTTAAATATAATATTACTTATTAAGTTCATTTCATCTGCAAAAGTAGCTTAGTCTGAAAAATATACTGAATATGTGTTAAGTCACCATACTTTAATATATATAGCTTGGCCCTTTTCATTATGTTGAATATTAAAGATGTCACTTTGGTACATGTTGGGGCCACGCTGCGGTGGCAGTTGGACTGGGGCATGACACCCTATAGCACAGAAACTATCATAAAAGCTTTAATGAGAATGTTTGCATAATTGACTGTGAAATATCCTCAGTTGCCATTTTTTTTTACTTTATTTGTGAAGACTGATGTTTCTTAAATAAATAAGTAAAACCCTCATCTATACAATAACTATTAGGACGAGGAAGTACAGATTTTGAGTAACATTAACTTTATGCTCAGGGCGTGCATGGCACCCAGTCAGGTTTGCTAAATTAAATAGGTTTTATTCTTGTATTCTTGGAACTTTCTCGATAGATTCATCATCAGGGTTATTTATGCTGCTTTGTGACAGCAAAACATTGAACTGTAAGCATTAGTGGAAAGAACATACATTGAAGAGATCATGAAAATGATGACTGGTTTCTATGCAAAACTGATGTTCTTGTGAATTATTTTGCTTAAGGAAAGTATTATTTTTCCATTAGCAAATGAAGAGAGGAAAAAATTAAATTAAATTAAATTAAATTAAATTCAAAATTAATTTGGAATTTCATCTTTTGTAAATCTTTAGAAATGGGAGATTTACCCATTTGCACATGGTCCTCACTTGTTGATGAAGAAAGTCTTACAATTACATGCTATGACAATGGAGAGAAAGGGAGACTCAACTAAAATCCCTCTACTCAATCACTCTACACTTTTACAGGCAGTATCTATGTTTTACTCTCCTCATTCACCAGGGCCTGACAGCAGAGACCAGAGCTAGGGAGGTGGGGGACAGTGGAGAAGTAAAGATATAACCTGCTGGAATGGAGGTATAGACATTAGAGAATGTGTTTTCCTGTCTGTAGTGGCATTTGACAGAAAAATTAGAGCAGGCACCATCTTCACTTTTATCCTTCCCCTCAAATAACCTCTTGTTACACTATCTTCACAGGGTATGGGGACAGAATAAAGAGGATGCAGGATGGTAGTGATGGGGGTTGGACAGGGTCTTGCTAGAGCTGCAGATATCAGCTTCACAGATCTTGCTGCTTTGCCCCCTTTGAAGATCTCTATTGTACAAAAGGCTTGTCAGTATCCCTGATAACTACTAGGTTGATCATTTAACCCTCTTATCACTTAAGAGCTAACTCTTCCTTCAATGCTGAATCATCACAGTGTGCAAGAACAAGACATGTCATGTACATGGAAAGGGGACACAATAAATATGATATTTAGAGGAAAGCAGGAAATAGACAGTTTTCATTTATCTTCAGAGTTAGAAATATAGACCTGAAAGGACAAAACAGGGATGTGAGAATTCTATTTTAATAGCTACAAAATTTGAGATGTGGTCAGGTATTGAACAAGCTCCACTGTGAACAGAGAAATCTACTCTATGAGAAATAAATTCCTAGACATAATTTGGCCAATAGTCAGTACTCCAAGTAATTTAGGGGTTTGTAGATTCAAATTTTAGATTGTTAGAAATTATCTATGTTCATTATACAATTAAGAAAATTGACTCAAAGAGACCAAACTCCAAAACTCCTCTAACAATCCAATGCCAGAGCTGAGGACACTTTCTGCATCTATCTTAGAACTCAGTCCAACATGTCACATCACCTGTTTCTAAACCTCAACCAGATGTCATCTGAATTGGATCAAAATTATAACCTTTACCTAGGAATGTGTACTTAACCATGACACATTTTACATAGGGTACCAATAAATCATTTCATATAAATATTACTTTTTTCTACCTTTTGACAAAATTATTGTTGTAAAGTTGAATACCTTCAGAAAGTAGTTTCTTAGAGGCACAAAACCACTAAGCTACCTTTAAAAGTAAAGCAATAACTAGAAATAATTTACCCTTTTGTACAGAGTACTTCTATGTTATGAGAAGCTATGAGAGTTTGGGAAAAATGATAAGGTTCTACTTAATACTCTGTGTACAATGTAAATGTACTAAAGCAATTTAGAAAAACTCTGGCAGGGGGAGATAGGGCAAGGTATCTTATTCCCGGGGTTACAACATAATATTATTATACTAAAAATGTTCAGTTTTCTGCCCCCTCCCCCAAAAAAATTAAAAGGCTTGCAAAGAAACAGAAAAGTGTAGCTTATAGACAGGAAAAAAAGCAATTAATAGAAACTGTCCCTCAAGAAAGTCCATGCATTGGATTTACTAGACAAAGACTTTAAATAAGCTATTTTAAATATTTTCAAAGATCCAAAGGAAACCATGTCTAAGAATTTAATAAAAGTATAAGAACCACATTTCACCAAGTAAAGAATATAAAAGAGATGTAATATATATATATGCATACATATGTATATATATACACATATATAATACATAGAGAAAGAAATTCTAGAGTTAAAAATTACAAAGATTGAAATGAAAAATTGTTTACTGGTGCTCAATAGCAGATTAAAGCCAGCAGAAGAATAAATCAGTGAACTGGAAGATAGGTCAATTGAAATTATCCAGTCTGAAAAATAGAAAAAATAATTTTTAAAAATATGAAAAGAGGTTAAGATACTTGTGGGACATCACCAGGCATAACAACTTATATATAATGTGAGTCCCAGAGATGAAAGAAAAGGGACAGAGTATTTGAAAAAAAATGACTGATGAAAAACATTAATCTGCACATCCAAGAAGCGTAACAAACTCCAAATGGGATAAATTGAAAAAGAATCTCAATATAATAATCAAACTCTTAAAGACAAAAAGAAAGAAAGAATCTTAAGAGCAGTGACAGAAAGGTGATTCAACACATACAAAGGATTATCAATAAGATTAAGAAGTGATTTCTCATCAGAAACCATGGAGGCTAGAAGGCAATGGAGTAACATACTCAAGGAATCAAAAGAAAAAAACCCGTCAATCAAGAATTTTATACATAGCAAAACTCTTCTTCAAAAATTATGAAGAAATTTAAACATTCCCAAATAAACTAAAACTGAGTTTGTTGCTAGTATATGTGCCTTACGAATTGTTCTTCAGGCTTAAATAAAAGGACAATAGACAATAACTTGCATCTATATGAAGAAATGAACACTGGTAAGGAAACCAGCACAGGTAAATATAAAGGAATATAATATATAAAAGACAGTATTAATACATTTTTTAAAATCCTTCAGCAAAATTATGTGATACAATATTCACATTCAAAATTTAGATGTACTTCTATGTGATAGCAATGAACAATTTGAAAATAAAATTAAGAAAACAATTCAATTTATTAATTATTAGTATAATACTTAGAGACAGACTCTCTCGCTCTTGCCCTGGTTAGAGTGCAGTGGCTCAAACATAACTTACTGCAATCTTGAACTTCTGGGCTCAAACAATCCTCCCACCTCAACCTCCTAAATAGCTGGGACTACAGGTGCACACCACCACACCGAGCTAAATTTTAATTTTTGGTAGAACCCAGGTTGATCTTGAACTCCTGGTCTCAAGTGATCCTCCTGCCTTGGCCTCCCAAAATGCTGGTATTACAACTATGAGCCAGCCCAATTCCATTTATAATAGCATCAAAAGGAAAAAATATACTTAGGAAAAACTTAAACCAAGTAAGTGCAAGATCTGTACACTGAAATTTATAAAACATATGGAAAGATGCCCTTTGTCAGTAAATTTCAAGGCTTACTATTATTAAGATGGCAGTATTTCCCAAATGATATACGGATTCCATGCAATCCTTACCAAAATTCCAAGTGCCTTTTTTTCCAGAAAGGACAAGTGATCTGAAAATTTATAATGAAATCCAAGTGATGCTAGATAGCTAAGACAATCTTGAAAAACAAGAACAGTTGGAAGACTCACACTTCCATATTTTGAAACTTACTGCAAATCTACAGTAATCAATACTGTGTGGTGCAGGCATAAGGTTAGACATATAAATCAATGGAATAAAATTGAGATTCAAAAAATGAACCCATTCATCTATATTTAATTAATTTTCGACAAAGGTACCAAGAGTATTCAATGAAGAAAAATAAATTTTCAACAAAAGGTGTTGGAAAAACTGGATACTCTTGTGCAAAAGAATGAATTTGTACGAAAACCTACTATAATAAACAAAAATTACCTCAAAAAAATCACAGACCTAAATGTAAGGCCTAATACTATAAAAATTTTTAGAATTAATAGGTATAAATCTACAGGACTACTGATTTGGCAAAGATTTCTTAGATATGACACCAAAAGCACAACAGACTAAAGAAAAAATAGATAAATTAGACTTCTACCTAAACATAAAATTTTGTGCATCAGAAGACACCATTACTAAAGCAAAATGACCATAGAATTAGTGAAAATATGTGTAAGTCATCTATCAGATAACAGTCTAATATCCAAAATATAAAAATAAGTCTTACAACAGAAAGAGAAATAGCCCAATTATAAAATTGGTGAAGGACTTGAATAGGCCTTGATTCAATGAAGATATGCAAATAGTCAATAACACAAAAGTGCTTAACATCATTAGTCATTTTGGAAATGCAAATCAAAGCCACAGTGAGGTACCACCATACACCTCCAAGGATGATTATTTTAAAAGAGAAAGAAATAAAAATTGTTGGTGAGGATGTAAAGTTGGAACCATCATTGCAGGTGGGAATGTAAAATGGCGCAGCTGTGGAAAACAGTTTGGTAATTCCTCAAAAAGTTAAGCAGAATTACCCTGTGTCACAGCTATTCTTTTTCTCTACGTATATACTCAAGAGAATTAAAAACATATGCACACAAAATATGTATACAAATGCTGGCAGCAGCATTATTTCCAATATGCAAAAAGTGGAAACAATCCAAATCTCCATCAACTAATTATTGAATAAATAAAATGTGGTATATCCATGCAATGGAATATTATTTAGACAAAATTAATGAGTACTGATACATGCTACAACATGAAAGAAACTTGAATGTATTGTACTAAATTAGTCACAAAAGACTACCTACTATATAATTCCATTGATATGAAATGTTCAGAATAAGTAAATCCGTAGAGAAAGAAAGTAAAGAATTGTTTGACAGGGTAGAGGGGAATGGGAATTGGTCGTCATTGTTAATGGATATAGTGCATCTTTTAGGGGTGAAAGAATTAGTGGTAATGGTTGCACAACACTGCAAATACACTAAAATCCACTAAATTGTATAGTTTAAAATGGTGAATTCCATATTATATGAATGTTTTCTCGATAAAAACGATTGAAAAGGAATTATGGAGCCTCCATCCACCTGGATTCCCAAGTGACTATGAAAAGCAGAATCTTCTTGTCAACCACATAGAGAATAAAGGGGAAATTGAATTTGTTTTGAGCCACTGAAATTTGGAGTTGTTGTGTTACCACAGCATAAATCAGTTTACCTTACTAATGCAGCTAATGAGTAGGAAATGTCTACAAATTACTTTAGAAATCCATGCCGTTTGTTGTGTGCGCATGTCATCCCAGCTACTTGGGAGGCTGAAGCAGGAGAATCGCTTGAACCCTGGAGGAAGAGTTTGCAGTGAGCTGAGATCGCTCCACTGCACTCCAGCCTGGGAGACGGAGTGAGATACAAAAGCATCAAAACAAAAAAATAAGTTCATGCTGTGTTAAAATCTCCAAAGTCCAATCACCTGACAGTATATAACTACCAATTTCTTTAGCCTTTTAAAGGGCAATCCTGGTTTGAGATCAACTCTATATGTCATTGAACATATGGAACTATTTAAAAGTGCCATAGAACTTAGTGAAGACTGTAAAACCAAAAAACAATTAGATATTCAGAAAATAAATCTATAAGGAAATATTTGTTAGATGTTTCCAAACTTTTATTTACTTATTTATTTTCCTTTGACATTACTTTTCTCATCATCTTAGAGGACCAAAGCAGGAAGGTTAGAAGGTAACTACCTTCTTATACATCAAATCATTTCCTTTTGCTATTTTGAAAAGTAAACCTTTCAAATAATCCTAATATCCTTAATATTGATGTATGAATATCACTGCATCACATTTAAGGTGAATAAAATTGATGCAAATTGAAATTGCAGCAGGTTGGTGAAAGGCTTACTATATATGCATCTACTGAACTTCATATTTTGCAAATCACTTTATAATTTCAAAAATATATCCTTTTTCCTACTTCCAAAATCTTTACCTGTCACAATAGTACTATTAACACACTATTTGTTTAAATTTTTCTAAGAATTATCAAAGATGTAAGTGTGTTTATGTTAATTATGTGAGATTCACATGAGATTGATTTTGTAGCTTAATTTCCCCCTTAAGGCTCACAGGAAGATTTCTTCTTGGATTGTATATATGTAGATGAGGATTCTATGCCTCAAGACCAAAATTATGTCCCAGGTTTTTCATATATCCTTGAAATGGCTTTGCTAGTGTCACAATTTTTATTCCCAACAAATAAAATTTTCTATATCTGCCATTAGTATCCTAAATTATTGTTGTTGTAGTCATTTGTTTGAAAAAGCAACTGTAATGAGATATTTAAATATAAATTTGCAGATAAATCAGTTTGCATCACTCTTTTGCTTAAAACACTTCCACGTGCTTAGACTAATATCCATAAAACTTAACATGGTCTACACAAATTTGTGTGTTCTGGCTCCTGCCTGTACTTCTGATCTTACTTTCCTCCAGAATCATGAGCTCATTCAAGCTTTAGAGCCATCTCTTTTCTAGTACATTGTTACCTTCACTCCAGATTTCACATGGTTGGGTCTCACCTTTGTGATCTCAGTTCAAGTAACACCTCTTCAGAGAAAGAATTTTCTCTAACAATGCCAGGAAAAATACTCCTATTACTTTAAATAACATTATACTGTTTAATCAGATTAATTTCTTACATAAATTTCCTGAGTTATTTATTAGTTTACTTGTTTATTGTTGGCATTAATATTATGCCTCTAGAATAGAAGTCTATGAGAGCAGATGATGTATACTATGTGCCTTGAAGAATGCTAAAATTGTGGAATGAAGAAAATACATGAATAATGCCTTGGATAACTCTGACATTAGGTGTGATGCTCCCCACCCGACTACCTAACACATGCATATCTTTGCACACAACGTTCTCCAAGTTGTTCAGCAACTCCTTTGTCAAGATTAATCTTGGACATTCTCAGATTAAAGAAACCTCTACAATCCAAGTCACTTCCAAAAATATATTAATAACCATTTATTTGTACCATTCAATATTGTGCAAATAGTCAAAAAAGTCTGATTTCGGACCATGGGTTGTTGCATGGAGTGTGCTTGTTTTCCTGGACCTCAGTGAGCATTCTCTATGCTTGTCTAAGGGCAGGATTTGGCCATGTGTGGTTAGTTGATTACAACAAACATATGGGGAAAATGGCTGAGAATGCTCAAATATTGAAACCATATGTTACTGCATAGGAAACTATGCCTTATTAAAACACAAAACAAAAACTGAGAATCCAGCTAGAAACATACAGTTCAGAGCTTTTGCTTTCAAAGCTTAACAACACTCAATTTATTAGACTAAAGACTTTCTTTTAGATTGAACAGAACCTTTACATCTCAGACCAGCTACTTAAATAAAAATATTTCCTTTGACTACAGAAGGTTACAAAAATCAAACATCTTGCATAATTTTCAAAACTGTTTAAAAGTGCCTTAAATCCTGTGAGATTTTTAATATTCTGTTTTAAATGCCATGAGGACTTCATAGATTTTATATATACTGTTTATATAAATGGGATGTTTTAACTATTTTTCTCAATTACTGTCATACCATCTTCATAGGAAAATGGTGCAGACAAGGAACTTGACTGTCATACTTAGAAAAGACATTAGTCTTGTAATTAAAGACTTAGAAAATTTAGATCAGAATAGCATTTGTACCAGAAGTAATGCTGGGTATCAGTGGAAGACCTTAGACTCACACACATTTTCTTCTGATCCTCAGATGAACCTTATTACTATCCTTCATCAAATCTAACATGCTATTAAATATAAAATACACCACCATTAAGAAATAAAAAATGCTGCCAATTTAAATGAAATAATGCTAAAATATAATATAAACTCTTGATTTCAAAGAGTTTAAAATGTGAAAACATATGCATGTTCAAATCAATAAAGTATGGTGGTTATACAAACTTGAATTTTGGCTTAATGTCTTAAAATAAAATATAAAATATAAAGCACTTAAAGAAATTTAAAAAATGTTGTTTTGGTGCTCTCACATTTTCTTTTTCATTTTGATGTCTGTTCTCTTAGCTAAGGAGCTCAATGTTTCCTCCTTATTTTCACCCCACACCACCACCCAGCCCTCTCCATACTCACACAGCCCTGCCTGCAGACAGTCCTTTCTGAGCTTCCTATTCCAGGTAGGGCCAGTACTCCGGAGTTTTCCATTTAACTTCCTCCCTCTTTATTGCCACTGTTAGATATTGATCTGGTAAATTACTGTGAGCTGGGAGATTTGATAGTCAAAGATAACCATGTTAGCATTTTAACAATGTTTGCATTTTAACTGTGGAATCCTAGATTCACAAATTTTAGCCCAAATAAACCAGTCTTTTACAGTGTGTTTTGAAGTATAATTGCAGGCTACATTTTGAAATATACAGACATTTAATCCATGCAAATTATACCCTCATTTCCATTCATATATATAGGGAGGCAATATATTATAATACAAACAACATGACGTTTATGACTCACTGAGACCTTGTTTTAACATGCACTGTGTAATCTAGAAGTTGCTTAACATCTCTTAATTTTATTTTCCTCATTGTTAAAGTGAAAATCATAATAAACACATTTCATAAATTGTATAAGCATTAAAAAGATACCAATTATGTAAGATATTTTCTAGTATATAAAACTATTCTCCAACAATGTAAAATGATATATAGTGATATAATTATATAACATATAAGCATATATTATATATATATGCATATGTTTTTGACCTATATAATATATGCATATGTGCATTAGTCTGTTCTCAGGCTGCTAATAAAGACATACCCAAGAGTGAGTAATTTATAAAGGAAAGAGGTTTAATTAACTCACAGTTCAGCATGGCTGGGGAGGCCTCAGGAAACTTACAATCATGGTGGAAGGGGAAGCAAACATGTCCTTCATCACATGGTGGCAGCAAGGAGAAGCGTAGAGCAAAGAGGGGAAAAAGCCCCCCACAGAACCATCAGATCTCATGAGAACTCACTCACTATCACAAGAACAGCATGGAGGTAACCGCCCCCGTGCTTTAATTACCTCCCACCAGGTCCCTCTCAAGACATGTGGAGATTATGGGAACTACAATTCAAGATGAGACTTGGTTGGGGACACAGCCAAACTATATAAACATCTAACAGGTAAATATGTATTCATATATACATAGTTTCTCTCTTTTGAAACCTCCATCAAATTGTCAAATTATGCCTAAGTAACATTAAACACCTAACCTCTACTAACTCTACTATAAATCACGAGCTGTCATTCTTGATGGTTTTCTATCTAACTTTGCATGTGCTGTTTGTGCACACATAAAAATCTTCACCTAAGGATCTAGGCAGCTATAGAACTATTTCGTGTCATGTCAATTTTTTGAAATAATTTTATTTGTCCTTACATAAATGAAATCAATTATCTATATCACTAATGTATTTTTGAGTATTTGGTCATTATGCTTTTCTTTCTATGTGATTTTTCTCTTTTATCATAATTCAAAACCGTATTGCTTTAGTAATAGCACAGCCCTACAATGAGATTGTCAGACCTTACGAATCTGTTGATTTATGAATTTCTCTGATAATTCTCCTCTTTCCTAATTTGCTCATTTCCCTCTTCCCTTTATTCTCCATGTCTTCTGTTTAATTTTGCCTTTAAAAAAAAAAATTGGAACTCCCTTCTCACCTTTTCATCATCTCTCTTCAAAATTCCAAGGTTTCTTCTCTTAGTCCAGACTATAAATCCAATGAACATGCATTTATTTCTAACTTGCATTTTTAGATAATTAAGATTAAAACATATTTATGGATTAAAAATTAATTTTTGTTCATCCCATACTTAACTGTATCTTTCCTTATAAAGTTCTATAAATAATTTTTTCAACATGTTTATGTTCTCTGAAATCTGAAACTTTTTAAACAAATATAAATGCTAAACATTTTAAAAGAAACATGTGGTCAACTGTAGCAAACTTCTACTGCATGGAAATCCCACTACCTATGGAGAGGTTATTAGATATTGAAACACAGGGTGGAATTTCCAGAAATGAGGGAGATTGGTTTTGACCAGAGACAATAATCAGAGTTCCCCCAACCAACCTGGCTGCTCAATTGCTCTCTTTGGAATTGGACAGAATAAGAAGAGAGCATAGGACACAGGTTTAGAATGTGATTTGATGGGTGTTCTAGTATATATGGAGGTAATATGATGTTTAGTACAGCTAAAGGAACAAAGAGAAAAATGTGAGTATGGATGTAAATGTGTATATATATCTACAGTTTTACCATCCTGCTTTCTGAAGTATCACTGATACTTTAAGGCTCAAACTGGTAAGAATAAGCTGACTAATAATAAAGGAAAATACCTTGGTATATTTTTATGTATGTTCTTTAAAAAACATACTTTAAAAAACATTTATTTATAAACTTTGTTTATAAATAAATAAAACCTTTCAGCTTTCTCTGTATCTAAAACTATATTTGCCTAATTATCAAATATTTTAAAACAGTTTTTGGAAAGAAGTGTAAGTCAGAGCTTTGTCTGCTAAGTGACATAAAAAGCTGTTTGAGAAGACAGGATATATCATTTTTTAAGTTATATTTTAAATATGGTGAAATTTAAATATCTGCAGTATATTTAAATAAATACACATAATAAGCAGACAGTGATGTATTATCAGAGCTGGAGGAATAAGACAACAAAGCAGGTGATGTAGGTTAGGGAGGCATATATCTAGTGTTGAAATTCAAAGTCATGAGGCTATATGAAGTTTTTAAAGACAAGAGACTATAGAAAGATTGACAGGGAGTTAATAACAGAACTTGGGCAAGTATTCACATTTGATGACAAAAACATAGAGGAAAAAGTCATTAATTAGAGAAAAACTAAGACTATATATGCAATAGGAAGAAAAATGAAACATTGTTAAGTAACATTGGAAAAAAACAAAGCACGAAAAATGCAAAGAGAATGGTAGTGGCCAATGGTCTCAGATTCTACTGTGAAGTCTAGAGGAATGAATATTGAAAAAATATAAATGGACTTGTGATTGGTGACCTTGGGGAATTCAAATTCAATACAATTGTTGAGGTGAGATAATACGCTTAGGAAGTAAAGGAATTAAGGAAAAGAGAAATAAGATGGAGGAAGACTGCATAGTAAAGTGAAATCCTTTTAAAAATGGACAATACTGGAGAACTATGTAGACAATGGTAAATGTTCAGTGGTTGGGGGGACTTCAACATTGTAGAAGGAAGAGGGTAATTGATGGAGGAGAAAGGACAAAATTATGGACTCGACAGTCAGTTTAAATGTTAATGGAGAGTTCCTGAGTGTGTAGGAGCAGCTGCTGACAGGAGCTAAGGATATGTCAGTTTTAACTAGCACCCCTAGGCAGAAGAGTCCCAAATACTGTCTCTTGACTTGACCTCTTCCCTGAACTCCAGTTGAGTGGGTGGGCTTGTCACTCAGGGAAACACCACAAGTGATGCAACCATGTTCCTATCCTCTTCATTCTATTATTAGTCTACAGACACACATCTTTTTCTGTCTGCCAATTTGTCTCTGTTAGCTTCACCATACCCGTACTTTTCTTTTCACACTTGCCTCCCAAAAATACATGACTTAATACATTGACAGTGTCACTGCATGTGATTTGAAACCTAGAACCTAGAAAAGGAAAAATGTTGAATGGATCAATGAACAAATGAATGGATGGATACTATTCTAGTCCTTTCTTACGCAGGAAGGAAAAAGAAATAACTTTTCTGCCTTTACTGCCAGATATATACAAAAAATATATTGTATATTCATTTGTAATAAATGCTAAGAAGATCAATAATGCTCAATGAGACCATCGAGAACTGTAGACTGCAGGAGCTATTTTCTATTGGTTGATCAGGAAAGGCCTCCATGAATAGCTGACATTTGAGCCTAAAACTAAATGAAATGGGAGAACAAACTACACTTGATACTTGGGGGAAGAGTTTTGCAGGTACAGGGAAGACCGACTGTAAAAGTCTAACAGTAAGAATATACTTCGCCTGTCTGAAAACCAATGTTCGCTTGATTAAGAGGCTGGTCTTCATGTGAGGAGGAAAATGAGACCAGAGAGACAATGGAAGCCCAGATCATGGAGTGCCATTTTGACCAAGATGTAGGTTTGCTAGATTTAGGAAATAAAGACACAGAGTATCCAGTTAAATTTGAATTTTAGATAAACAGCAAATATTTTTCATATATCTATGTCCCTCATATTGTATCACACACAGGCATTAAAAAAGTATTTGTTGTTCATTTGAAATTCATATTTAACAAGGTGTCCTGTATTTTATCTGGAAACTTTAACATGGTGACATCTTTGCATTTTACTCTGACAAGGAATTGTGCTGAAGTATTTTGAATGAAGAAGTAGAATAATTGCTTTTATGGCAAATAAATAATAAAGTGGTGAGGATAATCACATGAAGACTTGTGAGGGGGCTATTGTTACAGTCAAGGCAAGCTTGCCAGAGCGGTAGTGGAGAAGAGAGGGTAGCAGTATAAAGTAGTGAGGAAGTTACCAGTAGTCGAAGTGACAGATTAGATTTGTGATGAAAAAGAAAGAACAGAGTCAAAAATTATTCCAAGATTTATTGCCTAAATAACTAGGAAAACAGAGCTGACATTTCCAGAAAGAGAGAAGATTAGAAGAGGAAAAAAATTTATGCATAAGATCAAGAGTTAAAATTTTTTATTGATGTATATTTTCCCTACTATAAATTTCATCCATTTTAAGAATAGCATTTCATGATTTTTAGTAAATTTAGAGTTGTACAACCACCAATACAATCTAACTGCAGAATATTTCCAGCCCCCACTCGAAAAAAAATTCTTCTGGCCCATTTGCAGTGATTCTGTATATCCATGTTAGCCCCTTGGCAGCTACAGAATTACTTTCTATCTTTACAGATTTGTCTTTCCTGAATGTTCCATGTAAATGGAATCTACAATATATTGTCTTTTGTGCCCAGTTTCTTCTACTAAGTATTATGTTTTGAGGTTCATCCATGTTATAGCATATATCAACTCTTGGTACCTTTTTATTGCAGAATTGTATTCCGTTGTATGGATATATCACTAATTGGATTGTTTCCAGTTTACAGCTATTATAAATAATGCAACCTTGAACATTCATGTACAAGTCTGCATATAGATGTATGTATTTACTTCTCCTGGGTAGATTCCTTGGAGGAAAATTTCTGGGTTATAAGGTAAATTTATGTCAATAGTTTGGTTTTGAATTAATCTCCAGTAGAGATTTTGAGTGGGTACCTGCCACATGGATCTGGAGTTCAGAAAAAAATGTAAATGTAAAATTGGAATTTAACATCACAAACATGATTTTAAAGTCATTGGGCTGAGTAAGGTAACATAAGTAGTGAATGTAATTAGAAAAGAGAAAAAGTCTAAAGATTCACTCCTGGCACACACTAATTTAAAGGTTAGGAGAGAAGGAAGTTTGATGAAAAGAGAAAAAAAGGCAAACAGAAAAAGGGTCCAAGCAGGTACTTTTTGTGTCCTATCATATCTCCTTGAGCAAGTTTTAGGCTCAGCTGAGCTGTGGTGGACAGTTTCAGTACATGCTAACAACCTTCCAAGTTTTTCTGCTTCACTGCCTCCAGATTTCTTCCAAAGTAGAAAAGCTCACTCAGCTCTTGTGGTGGTGTATGGAATCAAAGACCACAGAGGTAATTTTTGGTGAAGACAAGATGGGATACAGGGATTATAAAGGCCTCAGTCTCCTATTCTTTGGCAAGATAATTCTGAGATTGGCTTAGCCCATAAACAATCCTGGTGATTTTGCTGTAAGCAGTTTCAGAATAACAAAAAGGCTGACTGGAGTTGATTCAAGGAAAAATAATGGAAAGAAAAGAGAGGAAATTGAGATGCCTCTAGGATCTATTTCTAGGAGTTTTGCTGCAAGGCAGAGGAAAGAAATGGCATGGTAAGTAGACAGAGATAGGCAGTGAAGACAGTTCAAAGGAAGGATTTGTGTTAAAGGCAGAGGACGTTACACTGCATTTGTACAGTTGAAGGGAACAGTAAAGATGCAGGAGATAGAGGGAGAATTGCTGGAGTGATATCTTTGAATAGATGAGAGATATGATGAGGGTGCAAGTGCAGAGTTTTACCTTAGGAATACAGATTTTATCTGTTTTAACAGGGAAAGGCAGAGCTTTTAGATATAGATGTGAATATATTGGTACATTTAATAGTGGAAACGTGTGCTTGCCTCTTGACTTGAAGAATAAATTCCTATCCAGATAGTGGATAGCCACCTTCTACTTGAACCCACCAACAAGAAGGAATTTTTATATTTTAAAAGAACCCATTCTATTTCAGACAGTCCTAGGGTACCACAATTTTTTCTCCATAGTATTGAGCCAATGGGTAGACAATAGAGGTGTAAAGTCTTAGGAATGGATGGTAGAGGCACATTTGTTACAAAATAAGAAACAGCAGTTATAGCAGATGAGGAGGGTAGGGCAAATATTCTAATCCATCAGCCAAGACTAAGATTGGAAAATACTAATGTAGGAAAACAAAATCCCCAGGAGAAATGATAGTTTTGGCAGTCACAAGTGTTAACAGACAAATTTAACCACAAAGCAAGGTACAATGTAACTTCTTCAGCATAGGTAAATCTATTTTATTTTATTTTATTTTATTTCACATTTGAAATTCTCATTCAACCTTATTGAGTTGGGTACTGACATAAAGATCTTGATTCACAAGTCTTATTGGAAAGGTGTCTCAAGTAAAATCACATAGTAAATTGTTACAATAAAGATTGGAAAACTGCTCACTTTAGTTCTATTTCTGCCAGTCTCAGGCTGTATAGTAATTCTTGTCAATTCTAAAGAAAATAATGACTTATGTTAACATTTAATGGGTACCTGCTATGGTCTCGCATTGATAGGTGATAGAGGTAAAAATATCTCTTTCCTGATGGCATCATTTCAGCGAAGTACTCTTTAAAAACTCTGAGAAAAAGTGTATGACAACACGCTAGTATTCAACGACTTTATCTAAGAGGAGTCAGTGAGGTCATGATGGAGCAGGAGTCCCAGAAAAGGAGTGTTAAAGTATAACGAGGTTGAGTAAGGGGGAAAATTTCAGACAAGAAGCCAAAGTCCCTTCACTCCTTGTAAATTTAGTCTTGTGTCTGTACCGTTGGACTATATCAGGGCTTTTCAAACTCTTTTTCATAGATTTCTTTGTAAGCCACATTAGCTGGAGAGAACTTCATGGAGAAAGAAGTCAAGATGAACGATCAGAGCCTTAATACTCTCACTTATATTTCAACCACAGGTATCTTTGGAAAAGTAAAAGGGGTTCCATTAATTTAAAAAATTCTTATGTGGAAAAATCACTGTTTTATATGATCTCTAAAAGTCCTATCAAACAATTCCATGGAACATCTCTAAGGGCCCATTGTACTCATTGGTGTGATCCAAACCAAAAATGTGTCCTGGGGACTGCATCATAGATGCCAATTTTGAAGACAGATAGTGGGAAAAGGGCAAAAGGAAGCAGTGGTCTTTGTAGGGACAAAGTAGACAAAGGCATTGGATAAGAGTAAGATAATTTGCTGAAACATAAAGGCAGAAAGGAAGTGGAAATATATTGCAGACAAGCTGCCTAAGAGCACATTTTGTCTCTGAAATGCCAATTAGAACATCCAAATAAAACACGATGAAGTTATAATTATAAAATATGTCTACATCTATACAGACATATTCATATATTTACGTGCATGTTTTATACAGGCACCCATGACTTATAAAATTATATTAAGAGATAATAGTGAAAACTTATCTAAATGCGTGGCGCATGCCCTCTAAAAGCAGTTCCAGACAAAAGATAAGAAAAATACAGCTTATAATACATAACCAAAAGAATCATGATTGTGGGGGTAATTCTAGTATTCCTTTTATTTATCATTTAATCCAATCTGAAAAGTCAAACCTGTCGACTGAGGTTTGACTTTTCCTCCCCATACACAGTATTAAACTTAATTATAAGTTGGCTTTTCTTGTTAATGAATTCTCCTTTGAACAAGCTAGCATTTTATCTAAAGCAGTTCTCAAAGCTATAAATGATATCTCCAACAAAACAAAGTTACAAAAGTTTTCTCATTTAAAAAAATAGGTAAACTACTTTTTAGACAAGCTTGGAGGTATGATGTAGGTTTTTGCGTTGCATAAGTAAATGCCTTAGTTTTCCATGGTTTTCTTGCTCAGATTCTAATTTTTGATGCCAAGGGCCATACAGTCTGTTTTACATGAATAAGTCAAAAAAAAAGGTGAGATGTTCTATTCTTAGAACCCCTAATTTTCCTACAAGTAATTTTTTTTAGTGGGAAGAGAATCGAATCCATCCTTTCCTTCCTTATCTTACATCATTTTTTTCTGACTAGATAGCAATAAAATAATTACCTTTACAAAAAATACAGATATTTTTATGCCAAATACAAACTAACTTTGGTTTATCTCATGTGTATACAATTAGTGTGTGTTATCTTTGGAATTGTGGTCCAAAACATAAATTTTTAATGTATTTTATAAAAAACATTTACACTTTAGCCTGCTCTGCCTAAATTCAACTGGTGCTACTGTGTTTCACAGCAAGACTAACTTTCTGACTTTGAAAAGTGTTCTTCACGTTGCTTTTTATATGACATCAATTTCATTGTGCACCAGAGGTGACTGAGAAACATATTTTGTTGGTTACGAATATTACAGTAAGTGACTGTCCTCCATGCAATTTTCAAATAAGAATCAATCAAATCTTGTGTGGTGATGTGCAAATTTTCAGTCAATTTTAACTGGCTTGGCTCTTCCAAAGGTTAAGGTAGTTTAATGGTTGAAAGCACATTGCAGTGCAGTTAGCTGCAAAAGTCAAAGGCTAGAGGATGAGGATTTTATTTCCTTTTAGCTTTTGCCATGTCTGTTTTCTGTCCAATCTGCCTCTTGCTGCCGTTTAACCCATGCTTTTAAAGACAAGAGGGGTTGAGAACTTGAGGGCCTCTGGCTTCATTTTAACAAGGCATCGCTAGCACTTGGGTACATAATTTGTCATAAATGTCAGAGGTCACTGGGTGTTCAAAACCTACATCCAGCAGATGGTCATTATGACAGCAGTTACGTTTCAAAGGCAAAGGATGTTTTGTGGTATTTACTTCAGTGTGTTAATGTCACACCTCAGAGTATATCTGAGAAGATTCTACTTTAAATCAAATCATGCTTGTGGTTATCTGCCTAAGAAGCAGTAACAGAAAACAGATGAGCTTTCAAAAGATACTCTATTTGGTTATTCTGAAATAAAGTATACACCAAACAGTTCTTTTTCATTTTTACCTCATGTTCAAGTGCTGACAATGAATTTCCCAGCTTCACATTTCTGAGAAGAGTTATAAAAATAAAATTAAGAAGCAAATTATTAAAATGTACTAATGTGAATTTATTTATCTAGCTTAGATCATTTAAACTGCCTAAAATTATAACAGCTATAGATGAATTTCTATGCTACAGCTAAAGATCATTATCTAATAGCTTCATCAGATGGAACAAATAAAAAGTAATAGATTAGATTTCACTATACCTCTAAATTTACTCTATTTTTTACTTATGCTATTTTATACTAAACATTTTTCAACAGCACCTGACACCTAAAATTGAAAAGCAAGACTCAAATCCAATCATATTTTTATTAGATAATCCCAGCAGAATTGGTGAAGAACTAAGCATTTATGTTAAATGAAGAGGTCCTTCATTTCTCAAAACACACTGAATTCTAAGGCATGAGTTTAGCAACAAGAAGCCCTGGACATAAACTAGTCAGGCACCTATGATAAAAAAGATAAAAATATTCTTAAAACTGATTGAAAATAAAAAGTGAGAGAACTCTAGTGCTACATTGAGAGAAGTGTACTATTGAATGTCTGAGCCTGTAGGGAATGTGAATGATTATTTCCTAATACAGCTGATAAAATGGGCTGGGAAAGATGCTGATACAGCTGTGGGGCCTGGATCTATCCACATAGCTGTGGGAACACCAACTCTGTTAAAACTCAAACAAACTTCCTGTGAGATTCTTCACTAATGTTGCTCATGATTTTATCTTACAAAACATAGAAGGGGTAACAAGAATTGTTACTCTGAACTTCACTTTGAGATATAAGGAAGAATTGCTTAATGATCTAGCAGTGACAGCAATCTTGGGGGAAATTAAGACATCTTATAGGAAGAATTAAGTTTAGCTGCATGCAACAGAAAACCCAAATTAACTAGTTTAGTGCATGAGATTTCATTCTTTGCTAAAAAGGTCCAGAGGTCAGCTCTCCAGGATTCATGTAGCAAGATCACAAATTAGTGCAGGTCCCAGGCTCCTTTCAGCTTTTCATTCAGAACAGAACAGGTTAAGAGCACAGATAGCCCAACTTCACCACTTCCTAGTTATTTAATCTTTGGCAAGTCACTTCATCTCCCTCTGCCTCAATTTCTACATCTGTAAATAGATTTATAATCACTAACTATAAATTACTTTAATGAAAATTGTTAATTGGAACTGTGGATAGTAATTTGCAATAACTACTCAAAAGTAATAGTAGGTAATGTTTAATGAGTGTTTCTCATTTTCAGACTCTATTCTTAACTCCTTACTTGCTAAATAAGGTACCAATTGTATAATGCAGGATCAAAACGCCGGCCCAGTTAATGTGTCTGCATGATTCCTGCTCTTAAGTACTATTTAGGGTGAAGAAATTGAGATCCCTAGTTTATATGATTGTTGTGAAGCATGTATAAATTAATACATATAAACTGTGAAGAATCATTCTTGCTACATAGTAAGTACTAAATATACTGCCTGCTATTAGTCTTTATCTTCTTTATTACTACTGCATTTCTGATGTGTTCCTCTTCAACCTAGTCCAAGATGGCTGCTAAAGCTCCAATCATTTCATCCTCATTAAAGAAGCTTATGTCATCTTCCTTTAAGGACACTTTCTGCATACACATAATCTCTATTTACATTAAATTTGTCAAAATTTAGGCCCAAGAACATGCTTTGCTACAAGAGACTGAAAATATGGTCTTTATTATGTGTTCTGGTAAAATTTGTGGACTTTTTCACTCAGAAAGTAAAGAAAAATATTAAATACTGGGGAGACATAAGCAGCAGTTTCTGCCATGTTACCTAGGAGTTCATAAAAGTATAAAAATTGTCTATTGGAGATTCTCAGACAGACATGTAGGTTTTTAGGAGAGCATTTATTTAAAAAGTAGGCAAAGTATAGGCATGATGTGATGTCTAGAACCTCCTCCTTTGCCTTTCCACCACCAAAAATATTTTTAAGAGAAGAAAGGATAAACAAAACAAAAATGAAACCTATATATAAATAAAGAAGAAATATCTAATGGAATAAATAAAGAAGGAATATCTATAGAAATCATATGGATTTTTTGAAGAGCTCATCTTTATAAATGAAAGATAATTTCATAAGACCTCTAAGACTAACACTAAGGAACGTCAAAGGAGAGATAAGTTTTAGGGATAATATTGAAAACAGGAAAGTCAGCTTTAGCTGTGCTTGATATACAAAGATGAGCAAAAAGAGAGAATCACTTGGTTTGGGAAGATGGAGGTGAAACCCACAACTACCCATCTCTTATTCTTTATCTTTAACCAACAATGTAAAGACTCTTGATATTGAGAAGAGCATAACAAACATCATCAAGACAGTTACATGTACCTATTGTGCCTTTCCTACATGGTGCTTTGCACATGCTGTTTCTCCAGTCTGGAATACCTTTCTTATCTTCTTCACTCAGTTAACTCCCACACAACCTTCAAGAAATAGTTCAAACAATTCTAGAAAGCTCAGAGTGAGTGGGAGGGTTTCAAGATGACACTCCTGTGTGATGAGATCCACGATCACTCTTACACAAGGGTGGGATAGGGTCAGTTGAGCTAAGTTAGCCAGATAGGTCAAACTCAGAATTTTAGTTCCATATGCCAGAGCTCCTCCTAAGCAAGGAGGCCAGAAATAGGTAGATCTAGCACATGAGTAAATGCCAAAATGGGGACAAAATGGGAGACAAATTCACACATCAAGTCCAGTGAGCTGAAAACAGGGGATAAGTGACCCTTCATATTAGGTAGAAACGTCACAAAAAGTAGAGCAATTAAGTAATGAATCTAATTTGAGTTTTAGTGATCTCCACAAATGTCTTTGGATGTCTTCAAATGACTTTGGATATCTTAAGTTGTCTTTTCTATTTGTCAGCTTCAGTTTTCTCAGCTATAAATGAACTTTCAGGACAGGTTATGACAATTAACTAAGATAATACATATAAAGCACCCTGCTTTGTTTTTGGCACAAAGCACTTGTTCAATACTATGTACCTCTAAAAATAATGAATGATTGAACAGCTTGCCTAAAATAAAGAGTGGAAATGAGTCAACAGTTTCCCAGTTTTCAAAAAGAAGATGACATTATCTTCACTTGAATAACATGCATACTCAACGTTGAAGTAACTATGCTTTCTTTCTACTTGACTCCCAAACCAGGTCCTCCTGACCTCTCTCTCAATGTCTTCACCTTTCTGGGTTATACAGGCTCAAATATTTAAAGCCCTATTTGATTCTTTCTGCCTTATCCTTGCACCCATTCACTTGTCAAGGTTTATGTAGATTCTAAATGCTCTGTGTCATTCACATCCATTTCCATTAACGGAGTTTGAGTCCTCATTCCTTTTCTCCTGAACTGTTTAAAACCATCCCACCTGCTCTTTCACCTCTTTACCACCCCCATAATAATGCATCCTCCAGAATTCTTCCTGTCGAATTTCATCTCATTTACTTTAACTCATCATTTCAATCTGTCAGTATCATTGCAAATCCTAATTCTGTCATCTACAACTTATTATCCCTCCCTCACTGTATCCCTTACCATTGCTTTCTATATTGTTTTCCAAAGTATATAATTTAAAAATATGCAATAAGATGGAGTAAACTATTTGTCCCACATAGTTTGAAACCATTTGCAAGATTGATATCAATTCAAACCAACTTAATAAAATAAATATTTATATGTTTCCTTCCTTCTTCAAGGTAGTACAGTGTGACAAAAGTATTTTACAGTCTTGCCAGGATATAGGACTGGTTTAAAATTCTAGATTTTCACTTACTAGTTATTTGAAAAGGTATTTTAAGTTCACTGAGTAGGCAAAATGGTAATATTTGTAACTGGATTATGTTTTAATGTTAACAAAATTATTGGTAAAAGCAATCTAGCTCAGTGTTCAGAATATGATGAGTGCTTAATACAATTCAAAAAAATTAATCATCATGCTAAATCTACAGAATTACAAAGAGTGAGGCACAACTATTGTCAGAAAACTTATAGCCCAGTTGAGAGAGATTATCGACGTGATAAGAAAAATGCACATGTATTAATACAAAAAGCTGAATGTAATAAATCCCAGTGAAATGCAATGGGATTCAAAGCATGGAGAGGTCACACCAGTCTTGAGGATAGGCACTAGTTGATTGTTCTTGAAAGGGACTTCAGGGCAATTGATTTGAGGGGAATTGGTGAAGGTTTTTAAAGAGGGAGTTAAATGATTAGAGCTAGACTTTAATAAAACTCGACAGAGAAACATGGGGGTTATATCATAGGTTTAGGAAGAGAAAGCCAATTAAAAATGCATTCAAATTGCATTTTTCTCTTACTTGACTCCTCAGCTGCATTTGAAGCTATTGACCATTACTTCTTTTTTGATGAAGTTCCCATTCTCTTCTTTTTTCTTCAAGTTACCTCTCTCTCAAGTTCTTGTCAAAAATCTTCGGTTATTTTTCAGTCTTATTTCTGACACCTTTTTCTCTACTCCTGTTTAATTATTGATGTCTCCAAAGTTCTTCATTAGCCTCCTTTTATAACATTCCATTTACACTCCCTTTACATAAACTTATCTGAATCAAGGCTTCAAATCCTGTCTATATCTTGGCAATTCCCAACACTAAATAACTTTGCAGAATGCTCTTTTGACCTAGAGATTTGCCTTCACCCGGCTCTTAAACTTCCACAATTGAATATTCAAACACCTCTAACTCAAGTAGAGTTAGTCACCATCTTTAAAATAAACTCTCATTTATTCACTTATTCCACAAATAGTTTCTGAGCTTCTATTTTGAGCTATGTGCCAGGTGAAGGTATTAGTATTTGGGCTTCACCAGCAAACAGAGAGATCAGTCCTTCTAAAATGACACTGAATTCACACAGCCAATGGATTTTCAGTATGGTAATTCTGATCTTGACTCTCCTCTACTAACTTTCTAATCCTTAATTTGCTCTCCAATGTCTTCAGGATAAAATTCAAACTTCTTAGAACAACCTTTTCAAACCAGGACAAATAAGTGATCTAGCCCATGCTTACCTACTAAGATCTTTTTTTTTTTTTGGCCATATTTTGCAATTTATGTAACTTGCAATTCACATATGAGCAATGCTCTGGCCCAGTCTTAACCTTTGCCTTTCCTGTTTCCTCTATCTGAAAAGCTTTCTCCTCATGATTCCTTTCCCATCTAGCTAATGCCTACTCACTCTTTGAAACTCAGCGTTGGCTCTTCCACAATCATTCTTTTATTTCTTTAACCTGAATTATGTATATCTCTATATTCCTATGAACATTTTGTATACTCCATCATAGCACTTACCTAAATCTATTACAAATATTTACTTTTTAATCTCAGTTCAAGTTGATTCTGAGCTAATGGAAAATGGAGACTTTGCTGTTCTCTCATTTTCTGTGCTACTTATTATGTTATTCTTTCTCAGTTCCAAATCTATTTTTCTTTCCCTGCTTTGTAATACTAAATATAGCCGGACCATGTCAACCTTTCTCCTTTGCCCAGTGACTCAATGTTAGACCTTCTAGTAGAGAGCTCTGCAGGAACATAAGCAAATATTAGAAATAGACTTTCCTCAGGGACCAGCCCACCTATATCCTCCGACCGTTTTCTTGGCCACTTGGTAAGCCTATTGTAGGGAACAGGTCGGCCTGTGCCCTCCAGCAAGTCTCTCAGTCACTAAATGGGACATTCCTAATGCTGAGTGACACACTGCCCCACAGGTTTCTCAACCCCTCTATGGATCACTTTTTTCTTCAGCAAGTTTCTTAACCATCAGCAAGCCATTTGTTTCTGTGGCAGTCATACTTTCTCCCATAAGGTCTGAGTCTTGGCATTAAGAGAGAATTCCTCTTTTAAGTTCATTCTTAGTTTCTTCTTGTTCCCTCTCCCTTAGCCTTAGATATAGTAGCTGCTTTCTGCATTTACTGTTTCACTTGACGTGGAGTCCTTTTTTAATCGCATTTATTAGTTAACAAATTCTTTATTTTATATATACCCTGTTCAAATTACAGGTATGGTTTTCATCTCCTGGCTGGACTCTGACTGATATATTTCTTGGCACAATTCTGAGTATGGATTGAGAGCCAAGTAAATTGGGGTTAGATTTCTGACATAATGATCATTGAAAGGTGCTAAAAGTCTAAACTGCTAAGTCAGCTGGAAGGGCTAGATGTGAGGATCATTGAGAATTCAGGCTTTACTGAAGATGGTAGCTGACTACAGATGAGGGGCAAGATGGAGCCAGTGACAACCAGCACCAAGACTTCGAGGCTGAGACACTGGGAAAATGGCCTTACTTTTAAAAGAAAGAAAGAAGCAACTAAGGAGCAGAATTTCTTTAGAGAAAAAGATGGTAATTTTCAGTGACTTATTTTTTAAATAACATGCTTATTTTTTAAGAGAATAGAGACTTTTTTTGCAGTGGATGGAGAATATGTGATCATATTAATTATGTTATCCAACTGGTAAAACACAATCTAAAAAGCTCAATAAATGTCTTACTGGGCAAGGTGTCTCTTGCTCACGTAGCAGCTCAGCGTCAGCTTTTCGCTGAAGAGCTCCGACATGGTGATTTAGGGACCCAGGCTCCCTTCGTCTCATGGCTCTACTCTTTCTCTCTAGGAATCCTTGGTTAGAGCTTCTGCATCTGCTTGCAGATGGGAGAAGAGAGTGAGAAAGAAAAGTGGCCAAATTCAAATACCTGTGGCACGTTCAAGTGGGAAAATAAAGAAGAAAAAGCCCATACCACTTCAGTCTTTTTTGATTATATTAAATATCCAGGTTTGTGTGACGCAATCCCAAGTAATATTGGTATCACTGTACTATGAGCTATAAGAGAAATGTTTTAAACTTCCTATTTTAAGGAATAGTTTTTTATTATATCATGGCTTATAGTTTGGTTAATTAGCTTGTTTTCAACACAAGGGTTCTATTCAGTGGTTGCCAGGTGTATTCCATGTAATTTAGAAGAGTTCGCCTCTCTAAATAAATGGGTGCTACTGACAAAGACTACTCAACTTGTGAAAGTCCAACTTGCAAGCATCCTTAATATCATTTCAGGAAAAAAGTCACCTAGCTAAATTTTTACATATATAACAATATAACAATAATAACACTTATTGAAACTGCACTATATGACACACCATGTCATGAATGAAGCATATGGATTATTTTACTTAAGCCTTACAACTGCCATGAGAAATACTGTTTTAGTCTTTACTACGACAGTTGGAAATGTACTTTTTTTTCAATGTTGGGAACAAACAGAACTTCAACTCTGTATTCTACTTGAGCCTTTTTCCTTTCTCCACTTAACTCTTCATTCCACTGTAGCTTATAGATACTTCTTTGGAGAGTTACTATTTGGAGACAAGTTGTAAAAAAAGAATGTCACTATTTTTCCTGCTGAGAACATGCTTTTGGTTTTGCAAGTAAAAATTCAAAGTTAATTCCCACAAAGAAATAAAGATTAAAATAAAAGTTAATCTGCTGTATTACTCTCATAAATATAATATTTTAGTAGAACGAGACCTGATGAATATTTTATGTATAAATAGAAATAATAATGACTAATTCCTATAAAATATCTATGTAGTTTCCCTTTGAATTTGGAATTAAATCTAAACTCTTTAAAAGGAATTTTTCTGTTTAATATGGCTCTTGAGCCGTATCTCCAAATTTGCTTTGAGTTGTTCTCTCATTTTCTTATTTTGCTTTAGTTGTAGTGGTTGTTTTGTTTCATTTTCCTATGAATTCTAGAGTTTCCAAGCTCTTTTCATTTGGGGACTTGTCACATATCTGCTCCTTTTTCTTGGAAAGTTCACTCTTTCAATCTTCCCTTGCCTGTTCCTTCCCATCTTTCAGGTCTGGCTTAAATTTCACTTCTGAAGAGAAATCTTCCCTGAGCACTAGATTCTTCTAGTATTTGTGTTTCATAACACTCTTTTAGGTTACTTCATAGTATTTATCAAATTTTATTATAATATATTTATTTTGCTTGCTTATTTAATGTAAAAGCTTGTACTATTAATTCAATCTTATATTCACTCATTCAACAAATCTAGAGAAGGAATGAGAAGGATAAGATTATAATTGGATCTGAAAAGTCAAGCATTTTAATATACGTAAAAAAAAAATTGAACATATTTGTTCTAGTTTTTTTCCAGCTCTGTATTGTTATGTAATAAATTATCTCATAAATTAGTGGCTGAAAACAACAACTACTTTATTATACCTCATGTTCTGTGGGTCGACAATTTGGGCCTGGCCGGGTGAATTCATTTTTCCATGTTCCATGGATGGCTGTTACTTGGCAACATTCAGCAGATGGATGGGCTGCAGCACCTAGATTGGGAATAGAAGATGGAGGACAAGGCTCAGCTGGGCTTGGTCACTGGATCCTCTTTAACACAGAGGCCTCTGGTTGGTCAGGCTTTTTATATGGCAGCTCAAGGATCCAAGAACAAGTGTTCCAGCAAACAGGACAGAAGCATCATGGCCTGTTGTAAACTAGCTTTGGAAGTCCTAAGTGTCATTTCTAGCATACTCAATTGTTCATAGTAGTTGAAAACCCAGCCAGATTGAAACGGAGGGGAATTGACCCTACCTCTCCATTGAAAAGTGTCAAAGAATTTGCAACCAGGTATTAAAACCTCAATAGTATTCACATTCTCAAATGCTATGCTAATTGAGCTCTGGATAAAAGAGAATTGGAAATCATAGCCTTACTCCTAAGGGGTATATAAGAATAATGGGAAATTGTCCCATAACAGTTACAGTTCAAGAAAGAAAAACATATTCCACAGAGTGTAAATACAGCTTTACATGGATATCCAGAACATTCAAGAAAGAGCATCTCTTTCCCTCTCTTGTCTACTCATAAAATCTTATTCATTTTTAGATTCCAGATTAAATGTCAATCTTGTAATCTAAATTAATCATCAATTCAGATTAAATAGTAACACTTTTAATTTGAAGTCTTTCCTAAATCTGTTAGTCAGAACAAATCTACCTTTCCATTCTTCTCCTAGAATACTATGAAAGCATATTTACTATATGATTTATCATCATATATTCAACGATTCCATATTTTTTCTGCTAGACTGTGTGTGCCTAATAATCATAGTGCAAGTTTTTGATGTGGCAGAATACACACTCAATAAATGGATATTCAATAATGAATACTTCTTTTTAAAGTTTTTTTTAAGAACCAAGAGATAAAAGTGAAAATAATGAGTACTTCATAAAACATAAAACACAGCAAATATGATCCATAAGTTTAGCTCAGAAATCTGAACCATCAGTTGAACAGATTTTTGTGAACTACAGAGTATATTTATAACAGCAATACCAGGAGTTTGAGATCAGCCTGTGCAACATAGTGAGATTGTCTCCAGAAAATAAAACAAATTAGCCAGGTGTGGTGGCTTGCACCTGTAGTCTCAGCAACTCAGGAGGCTGAGGTAGGAGAATCACTTGAGCCCAGGCATTTGAGGCCACAGTGAACTATGATCATGCTACTACGAGACCTTGTCTTCAAACAGACTCTTAGAGCAATAACTGGCACATGGTAAGCGTTTATCAAATAAACCTCATGGTTCTTTGTATTTCAATCAGAACAATTGGCACACTTGGATATGAATATGCCTGACTTTTTTCTGTATTTTGAGATCTTAGAAGTCAGCAATCTTGTCTCATGCAACTTACTATCCCCTATAACATTTTAACAATACTTTATAATTACAATTTGCATTTGGTTTACAGAGTTTTTTCATGTTTATCATTTATACCCTTTTTAAAGATGCTTAAAGGAGTGGTCAAATGTTTCCACCTTGTCAGGATGAGATCTGAATATAAAGTTATCCATTCAAAACTAATAACCTTTTGGGAAATCTATATAAATAATTTTCCAAGTAATTTCTGAAATTCTGTGTTTCTGGGAATTCTATACAATTTTGAATAGGACATTCATTAAAATAAAACATACATACTGAAAAAGGCACAAATAATAAATGTCACATAGACTAATTTTTATAATTTGAACACAGTTGTGTAATCAGAATCCATATTATATATTGATAAAATTATTTTATAATTAAAATATTTATTTGTATTAACACATCTTTCCAAGTGTAAAATTACCTTTGTTTTGGCAATTATATTTTAAAGTCAAAAGCAAATGCTCTTCAAAGGCAAAATAATTAAATTGCTAAAATATAGTAAGTATACCTGCACTTTCATAGTCTTGCCAAATGCATAATTGGGAAAGGTGCTTTGTGTCAGAGTTAAGTGTTTGCTTTAGAAGTCAATGACTAAAATCTTTTTAAGATTTATCACTTGTTATCTCAGAAGAAAAATCTACCATTTCTATAAGGCCTTATCAAATAAGCTGTAAGCTATATAACACATGTATTAACATATAGTAATATAAATAATGATAAAAATATGCTTATATTCTACACTTGGATTTTCAGTAATTAAATCTACTCATTGTATTAATAGCGTTTCCCTAAGAGGCTAATCACCACTCACAACACTGAAAAAGTTAATAATGGAATTTAAATGACACTTTGAAACTGTGGTTGAATCCCTCATGGACATTCAAGTTTTATTTCCCATCAAGACATCTACCTAGAGAATCTTGAAGATTATAAAACACACATACCTTGATATTTAGTGGGGAAAAAAATTATGGTTTTTTACTTCTTTTTTTTTAATAGTTCCTCTTTCCAACCCGCATTTGGTAAAGTTTTTTCTCCTCCTGTAGTGTATAGATTCTGAACGATACCTCTTCAGACCTGGGTTTTCTTTTTCCACATAAGAGCAAGGAAAACAAAATGATACGCAAAAAAGATATTCTGCCTAGAATCTTAAAGTCGGAGTAAACTGTGTTTGAGTTTGCATCTCACGTGATGCACATGTTCTCTATACAGCGTGAGTCTTATAAAATAAACAGTTTTTCTTCAGACTTAATTAAACAGAATCAAGTTTCAGCCATAGTATTTAGTCTTGGATTTCAGAATGCTTCTTGTAGAAAGCACTAGGGAAAGGGAATGTACAGAAAAATCAAGGAATGGTAGGTAGGTAGCCACTAATTAATGAAAAAAGAGCCCTAAATAACTCTAAATATTTAGGCTTGATAGTTTAAATGTGCTTACAGGGGTGGCTATTAGGCTGTTTGAGAGATGGTCAGTTCATTCAGGGGACAATGCATGTCCCTCAGAGCCACCGCTGTGAAGAGGAACAAAGAACCGGGGCAGCCTCACCCTAACCCATTCTCTACTGCAACACCCCTTGTTCACAAAGCCCCTTTCAACTGTCCTTTATTCTAGATGTTTACTTTTTCTGATTCAGGCCTCTTTTTGCTATCTCATGCATTGCATTTCTATCCCTCCAGCAGGCTGGACCCCAAACACAAGCTATCCACAAAGGCTGCCATAGAAGAAAACAAATCTCAAGACACAGATTCAATAATTTTGTATAAATGCTTTATGAATTTTTCACTTTTTATAAAACAATAACCAAATGCACCTTTGTGCAAGCTAAAATAAAGCTCTTGGAGAGAAATATACTGTAATAACAAGTTAAAGTTATAGTATAAGCATTTAGAGGATTCTTTCATCTTAACGTTCCAAATAATCACATATGGGCAAATATTACCACCTGAGTAATATTAAGAATGGTAGAGTCAATATTTATTGTGTTATAAAATTGCTATGTTTGGTTTTGAGCTTGATTTTTAGGTTTTTGTTTTTGTAATTTCAAAATTTTTAAATCTTTGAATGTGAAATAAATGAATGTGTGTATATGATATTACCCTATAGAATTATTTGTACATATGATATTTTCCTAGAATATGTGGTTTATATATAAAGTTATATCTGAAAATGAGTGGGGTGTGGCTTTTAAATTAAAGCTTCTTCTAAGTTATTAATTAAAAAAGAACCAATAAAACAATGAACTTCTAATTTTTTGAAAAATATCATCATAATCTGGTCAAAAAAATATTTACAATGCTATTGCCATTTACAGTTGGAAATGTCAACATTTGCAAAGATTTATTACACAATTATCTGAGACATTTATATAAACGAATAGATTCTATTCACTCTCAACATTTGAGAAGAAACTACAGTATAATTTAAAATACATATTAAATAATAAGAAAACTAAATAGTGGTAAAACCTATAAGAAAACTTTATTTTTAATTTGGATTAAATTACAGGTCATTGAATCTAGTAAAAATTACTGACTTACTATTCCATATTTTTATTTTATAAAAAACTTGCTAGTTTAAATTTGTTTTAATAAAAGGCATATTTCAAGCCTTATAGGAATCCATATCATAGTAATCAAGATTTATAACAGCATTATACAAATTTAATGCTGTGGATTTTTTTCAGGCCCTTTGATGTAAAAAGTTAAAATAATTTTTTCATATCAAGGGGAAATGTTACTGTTTCCCAGACTACCACCTTCACTTTAGAAGGGAACATGACACACCGGGGCCTGTCGTGGGGTTGGGGGAGGGATAGCATTAGGATATATACCTCATATAAATGACGAGTTAATGGGTGCAGCACACCAACATGGCACATGTATACATATGTAACAAACCTGCACATTGTGCACATGTACCCTAGAACTTAAAGTATAATTAAAAACAAGAAATAATAAATCATTATTAAAGATTTTCTAAAAAAAAAGAAACATGCTCATGTTCAATCTACTATTTACACTTTTAAAATTACTAAAAGAGTTACATAAACACATTTTTAAATTTCCCCATTTTCTTTAAACATGTAGCTCATGTATGTATTTTTAATTGGGACAACCCTGCTTTTCCAAAATCTCAAATACTTTAAATAAAGTGCAAGTGCATGCAAGCGATGATGACCCTTAAAAGCAGTCATAAATTTAGTCGCTGGGAAATGAGAAGGCTTCACAGATGACTTAATTTGCTGTGGGAACCTGTGCTTCCTCCATGTGTAACCTCTGCATTTTGCTGTCTGTGACCTTCAGCAACATCCACCTGCTGGAAGCCATGTTTGATTCTCTGACCAGGGAAACGCCTGCTTGACAGCAGAATGGTATCATAGGACAGTGTGATGGAATTTTTCTTTCTCTGTCATCATTAAGGGGGTTCCCCCTATGGTGAGGGGAATGAAAAGTACGATTTAATGTTCTCTGGAGAGTGGCGGAGGGAAGAAAGACTCAAAGCTTCACATGCTGCTTTCGGAGTGGGTCATTTCAGTCCTTGTGGCGAATGGGATGTCCCAGTGGAATTTGCCATAGACTGGTCTGAAAAGAAAGGGATTAAGACCCTTTTAAGGATGGAAATGTAACAAAAGGACCACTTTTATGATGTAGCAGCATAAAATAAGGGCTCTATTGTACAACTGATTGCTAAAGATCTTTGAATTGGGTAGCCTAGCCTGGTAAGCCCTGTTTCCTGAGGGTTTAGAGGCTTGTACAAATGATATGTCTATACTAGAATCAGAGTTCTGCTCTCATTTAGGGGCAAGTAAGAGATTATCAGTTTGTTCCTACATGATTTTTTTCTACACCTACCGAAAAGTGGCCTGTAGGGAGATTATACTCTAGTGAAAGTTGCTGCTAATTAAAACAAGTAATTAGTGTTCCTCCAGGCTTTGCGGTTTCACTCACTTTTGCCCGCCAGACAGCATTAGTTTAAAAGCAATCCAATTTCTAGCAATAACAGACTGTAAAAAAAAGTCATTTAACAAGTATATAAGTGTAAGGTTACAGTTCAGGCATTGATTTATCTTTTCTGGGCTACTTAGAAATACTGTAGCAAAGTTGAAGAGAAAGAAAGTTAAATAGCTTTAAAAAAATTAATGTTAAGGAAAGAAAAAAGACCACATGCCTCAGTCCATTCACAAAAAGAAAAAAAAGACAAGCAAAAACTGGGAGCATATAAGACTTCCTAAATTGCATTAGGAAACCAAAATTGGATTTAATGCTGTTTTCTCATAGAACCCTCACTTAGCATTTTGTAAACAGATCATTTCATTAAGTCCTTTTGTTTCTTCTCCCGCCTTTGCTGAAACAGGGACTTTTTATTGACTGATTCTCATTGAAATGAATTGGAGCAGTAGAGTTGAACACAACACGCTATTACCTCCTTTTTTTTTCACAATTCCAAAATGACTAGCATGGTTTTATTTTGCATATCTGGTGGGAGGATTTAGTTAAACTAGAGAGATCTTGAGAGAGATTAAAATATTTTATTATAAAAAGATATAACAGAAATTAATATTAAAAAAACCATACCTACATTGAATCATGCCCTGATAAATTCTTGTCTAATTACTCAGTTTTTGTAACCTGACATACTTCTATAATTGCTGCCTTTGCTGCTTAAAATGATCTATTTCTGAGGTTGGTATCATCAAAGACATGTGTGCTATTGTGCAAGCAATTCAATATAGCTCATCATTAAAATCAGCTGTAACTCTACTTTCCCTTTAACAAATGAATTCATAATACTTTAATTAATGCAAAATTTTCAGATTTATAGTTTCTCCAGTGCTTGTTTTTTTAAATGCTGACTATTCCCCTACAAGATAAAAACTTTGCTATGCATTTCAAAGAGCGCTATTCATATAAATAATATTATATGTGTGAAAGTCATTTATTATAAACTGTTAATGCCACAAAAATGTTTGCTGTTATCCCCTTTTCAACTGGTGGATTCCAAATTTAGTGATCTTTTTCAATTGATTACAATTAATTATTAAGTAGCCTGAATGTTATCATTGCAGGTTAATATAAGACTGTATATTTATTATATTTTAGAAATCAATTTTTAGAATATAAATATGTTTTCCATAAAGACTAGCAGCTTTTTAAAATTAATAAAATAAATTTTCATCATGTGACTTATAAACTCTTAACTGTATTTTAAAGTTTTAGTATATGCTTTTCCTTTCCTCAAATGTATTTCCAATCTTATTTATAGAAGATTTTGGGACACCAAACTTAAAAAAGAAATGTTGCATGTAAGGGTCAGTAAGTAGACTTTATCTGAATCTCTGCTTAACTTTTAAAGATACTGTGAGAAGAAAAAATAACTTGGTGATAACTTATTTTCCTAGAAAGGAATATGTGAAATAATGAAGATGACTTTCATTAATAACTGCATTCCACGTATAGATCATTTTCCCAATAGAAACTTATAGTTTCCAAAAATCTAAAATCAATTTATAATCCTTGCAGAATGTCAACCATAGTATGCTGAAAATGTTTCCTTCATATTATACCTTTTTCCTGATAATTAGAGCTATGCTCAACTGGCATTTTAAGAGAGTTTTTTGTTTTGTTTTGTTTTTTGCTTCTTGTTTAATGGTAGAAAACCTTCTTTCAAAATCAGTCTTTGACAGTATTTGATTTTCTGAAATTGAATTCAGGCTACTTCTATCAAGTCTCCTTTTGAGCTAAGAACTTGCTTTTTATTTCAGAGTTGATGAGCTGGAGAATGCGACTGGCAGCACAGGCCTAGGGCACCAGAGGGCAGACTGTACAGAGACCTGTGAGAATGGTCAGAACTCCATGGATCATGATGGAATGATCAGGGACACTATAATAGCGTTCATTTTATGTATTAAGCCAGATTTGCACAACAATTCCATTGTAATACAAATGTAATCTTTAGAAGTAATTTTAAAGCAGCAAATGTAGAAATGCCAACTCTCAAGTAAAAGAAAACAATTTTCCTAAGCCAAATGTCTTTTGTAAGAGATTTCAATGGTCATTTGATTTTAGTTTAAAGATCATCTGACCTTATGATTCACCCGATTCTTAAATGCACATCTCAAATATAATTGTCTTCATTTGGAGTTAATGTATAAAAAATAAAAACAGTGAAATAACCCTTTGTGCTTTGTTCTACTGCTGTGCAGTGCTTTTGTCTAACTACAAGAAACTCTAAGTATACAATTATTAGTATTAAAACTGATGTCTCCAAGAGTTCAATGTTAATTTTACTTAAAAAATTTATACTGAAAAAATGGTTTCTCCATATTCCTTGTAATATGGCTATTTAATCTAAGTTCACTCAGCTCAGTCATATAGTCTTTTGAAAACAGAGATGATATGATATTTATATAATATAATAAAGATCAATAGTGTTTATGAAATTTCATAAAATTAAATTTCTTTGAATTTTATTAATATTTTACTAGATATGGGGTAAGCATAAACTTTCATTGTACCAATAATTTAGGAGTTTCTGTAAGAGATAAAATATGTAAAAGATTGGACAATCTGTTGAAGCATGCTATCTAAAGATCAGTCTTGTGTCATTCCATACCAGGAAACACCTCTACCATCTGTGGAATTTATCCTCTACACAGAAGAACTGAGCAGGAAGAGTAGAATTAACATTTATGAAAAGCTGCAAAATGCCAGGCATCAGGCCAAGCACTTTACATATATTGTCTCATTAATTATAACAATTTTGAAGATAAGCACTCAGCAGCTAAGACAGATTAACTAATATACTCCACAAAAGTTAACTAAAGGGGATTTATTTTAAAAATCAACATATTTGCTGAAAAATATGTATGGAGTAACTGCAATGTACCAGCCATCGTGAGAATCACATTGTGGGAAGCTGTGGACAAGACACATGAGCTCCCTGCTATATAGAAACGTACATCCGAGTAAGGGAAGAGATGCCATACACATGTAGATAAATAGGTAAATAAATATACAATATACTGATAATTATATAAAGGAGTTTAAGATATTTTATAATTAACTATTAAATAAATTTGTTCACAAACTAATGCTGAATTTTTCCAGATTATTTTGACTTTTTGAGCCTAAATTTGGACTTTTACATTTTGTTCTATTTAATTCTGTACATTTTAGTCAGTTTTTCTCATACTTTAACTTCTTTTTGATTCCTGATATTTTCTTTCACTGAAAAGGTATGGCCAGGCAGACCATACCACTTATGTTATGCAGACCCATGCCAAATTGTACTCACCTTTTCCAGGTAAACTTTATTCTGAAGAGATTTTGAACGCTACTTCAACCCTCACCTTAAAGAGAATTTTTGGTGCCAATTGGGTCTACTGGCCTTTGGCCCATGCTGTCTTGACTTGCCCCTTTTTCTCCTATGTTACTCGACTGATTCTTTTTTATGAAGGAACCCTTTGGTTCCTTGCATTTCTTCATCTTCAGTATTATAGCTACCATTCACTAAATGTTTCCTGTGTGTCTACCACTATTCTAAATATGCATTTCTTTACAATTGCATCTCACGTAATCCTCCAGTTGACATACAAGAAAAAGTATTGCTGTTATCACCATTTTACAAATGAGAAAAATGAGGTACAGAGAGATCATGTCCCCAAGATCATACCTTCAGTAAGTGATAAAGCCAGGATATTTAGAAGAAGCCAGTTCAGTGATGTTACTCTTAATTTCATATTTCAGAGTCTTTATAGCACTGAATCCATCTTCCATTTTAAAATGAATGGCCATGGAATCAAGACTCTTTTTCTCTCAACATTTTTAAAGTGTTACCCTAAAGTCTAGAGTACAGGTTAAATTATGTTCAGTGTTTGTTGCCATAGTTGTTACAAATTCTGTGTTAATAATATCACAACATCTTGCATTTCCAAACACCACTTTTCCAAATCATGCTTCAATAGCAGGAAGAATGGTAGAGTAGAAAGGGCATGGGCTCTGCAGTCAGCTAGGGTTGCATTCAAATCTAGCTCTTTTGTTTTAGCTATGTCACTTTGGGCAATTTATTTAATTTCCCCTAGGCTCAGTTACTTTTTCTTCTCATTAAGGATAATATCTGTTTTGGGGGATTGTTATGGGAATCAACTTAACACAAGTAAAACGGTTTGGTACATGCTTTGCATTCAATAATTTTGACTTTATGTTTACTTAGAATTGAGATTGAACTTGTGATTCTTTTTATTTTTCCATAGACGTTTGAGAGAGATTTTTTTTCCCAAAAGTTGAGTCGTTTTGTCAGATGCTCTGTGTTTAGTTCCATGACTTACCATAGTCTGCATAGAGTCTGCCATATATTCATTCATCATTCATTCACTCATTTATTTAGCAAGTAAGGCAGCAAGCAAGCATACGTAATAGAATTATTATGCCAGACTCTGTGCTAAACAGTGATTCAGAGGTATGTGAGAGCAACCTAGAAGTTCACATTCATATAGTGATAGAGGTATGAGAGAAATAAACAAGGGAGCTAAGTTTATATTAAAATCTGAATAGAGAAAATATTATCCAGATCTTCTCTCTGCCAAGGTGATCTGTACTCAACAGCCCCTTACATTTGGTTTCATCTGTAAAGTTACCTAAATGTCCTTATAAGATTCATTTCTTCTCTGAAATGCCATGCGTCTATAATTGTGTCATGGTTGGTTCTCTTTTTTAATTCTTACTTAAATGACATTGACTACATTTCCTCATTAAGGTTTATAGAATTTATTGGAAATAGAATGCCTAATTTGCAACCAGTATCGCTTTGCATCCTTTACAATAGGTCAGGTTTGTACATAATATAATGTTTTCAGTGTGGCCAGTTTACCTGATACCTAGCGGGAAACGTAAATTTTGTAACAGATCATTTGCCCTATTTTTTTCTAATAATTTTTGGGGACCTCCTATAACCCCTTTTATTTTTTCTTCATCATATCCTTTGTTAATCAAAGTATCTAATAGTATTATCTGGGCATTCCCCCACAAAAACCTTATATTACAGTAATATTTTTAATACATATCACATTGACCTGAATATGTTTGGATACATACAGCAGAATACTCAAGCAGCTTCAATGTGAGACACATTAACACACACTTGAAGACACACTGGAACTTTAACCATGATATCCTTGGGTTGAACCTCTGTAAAGAATTAAGGTAGAAAATTTGGCACACTGTTGCCTGTTGGGAATAACTTTACATAAGCAAAGACAGAGCTTTGGTGGCAAACTACCACAGTCAAACTTACAGATGACATAAAGAAGTCTTCAAGGGTTGACCTTTTCTAGCATTCTCTACTTCCAATATTCTGTTATTCTTTTCTTTCAGTGCATTTATACCACATTCTTTTTATTATCACCTGCCTCTATCCTAGTATGTAAGTTTGATGAAGAGAAGAAAGTTTGGCAACTATTGCGTTATCATGATGTTCCTCAAATAGGAATGAATGACATGAACTGGTAATACAGCACAGAAAATATAGTAAGATTTAGATGCTTTAGTTAGTATCATATAGTATTTGGAGAGACACTTTTTTTTTTTTTGAGAGAGAGTCTCGCACTGTTGCCCAGGCTGGAGTGCAGTGGCGCCATCTCAGCTCACTGCAAACTCCATCTCCCGGGTTCAAGGAATTCTCCTGCCTCAGCGTCCTGAGTAGCTGGGATTACAGGAGCACGCCACCATGCCCAGCTAATTTTTGTATTTTTAGTAGAGACGGGGTTTCACTATGTTGGCCAGGCTGATCTTGAACTCCTGACCTTGTGATCTGCCCTCCTTGGCCTCCCAAGCTGCTGTGATTACAGGCATGAGCCTCCGCGCCCGGCTGGAGAGATAATTTTTTCAAGGCGAAAAGATGTATTCTAAATTAGAGCCACATATGGAAATTAGGATTCTTGCCTCCTCCAACTCTAAACTTATGCAATTGTAAAACTGCTTTGCTAGAAAATGCCAATATCATATCTCTTTTGGAGAGACACTTTCTAAAACAGATATGATACTGGCATTCTAGACCAAAGGGATTTTACAATTGCATGAGTTTAGAGTTGCAGGCAAGAGTCCTCATTTCCATATGTGGCTCTAATTTAGAATACATCTTTTCGCCTTGAAAAAATGTTTACTATCATGGAAAATTTATTGCTATATCTGTAAAATAATGATCAAGCTGTAGAATGAAGACTAGGAAGCTCAAGTTTTCTTTCATTCCATCTTTACAACAATGATTTTATTTATTCATGAGTGGAAGGTTATGGCACTGAGAATAGAGATGTAGATGCAGAAAAGAAAAAGGTGTAATCATTGCTCTTCAGCATTCTCTGGCAAAATAGGATAAGAAAACTTACAATTGAATCAGAATGTGTGAAGGACTAGCATCTAACTAAATGTAGCACAGAATTATGCTCCTAACAGAGATTGGAGCAAGGGAAGAAAAAGAATCAAAGTAAGTCTCCAAATGGAGACAATTAATGAATTGAATTTTTAAAAAGTAAAGAGAAGTAAGGCAGGATGTTCAAAATGATGAAATTCCAACATGCTTACAATAATGCTTTTATCATGTGGACTAATACTTTCCATGAATTAATGTTGATTCAAGCAATTTAATTCACGATTAACGTATGTATTCTTTGCTCCTATACTAAAGAACTACCTGCAACTCCCGAACTTTAAGTGTAAATGCAAATAATACTCTTGTTTCGTATTTAGTTCACGTAAATATTTCAGCAGCACAATGAGATCAATGAACCATATTTTGAAGCCTCTGCTCCCTACAGGTAAGGATTTTCCTCTTTATTTCCTTAACGATTTCAAACCCGCAAAAGTGTCATCTGTATTCCTTATGACCAGTTTCCTTGGGCTAAATTCAGACTTTTTCCTATATAAACTGTTATCAACGTAGCCACCAAAATTGTACTCAAAGGAGATTCAATATTCCTCCACATTTTCCTATTTTTATGACTTCCCTTGCTGCCACACACAATTGACCACAATCTCCTCATGGACAAATTTTATAGCCTTACCTTTATAAACTTCATTGTTTTCCTAATGTTTTCTAATTGATTCTCACTAGAATTTAAGCTCTAAGAAAGCAGTGTTCTCACTTGTTTTGTTCACTGACATATCCTAAACTCTGCAACAGTGCCAGATGCATATAGGCACTCAATACATACTTGAAAACAATACATTGTTAACTTCCCACTTTGTGGGAAAACAGGTAGAGACTACTAAAAACATGAACAATGTATTTTTAGTTCTTTCTGTCCTTTTCACTAGATGTCAGTTTCTTTTTTCGATGACATTATATGAGAAAGATTATTTAACATTAGGATATAAATACATGTTTATTGCAAAAAAATTAGAAATAAAACACGTATAATTTCACTCTACCAAGGTAAAACTACTGTTTATATGTGAATATATATAGTTTCAGGGTTTTTATCTATGTGTATAGATTGGATTAATATTTAATTAGATCACAGATATACAGTTAGGAACATGATAGAATAAATGGTGAATACAGAAAATTTCAACTGAGATCAAAGAAAGAGACGTACATTTTCACATGCTAAGTGAGATTAATAAAAGATCAATTTTAACCTTGTTAATTAAGCTTGTAAAGACATTAAAATCTGGTTACTTTACCTAACTTTCCTGGTAGGATGTATGACCTCATTAATCACTTTAGAAATCTGAAAATTGATTTGAGAGGCTGTCTCAGAAAGGCTGTCTTAGTTAGTTCAGGTTACTATAACTAATTACCCTAGGCTGAGTAGTTTAAACAACAAACATTTATTTCTCACACTTCTGGAAGCTGAAAATCTGAGATCAGGGTGCCAGCATCATCTGGCAGTGAGGGCCATCTTCCACGCTGCAGAAAGCCAACTGCACCTTAAATTCTTCCGCTAATTCTCTGGCCTCTTTTTTTAAGGGCACTAATCCCATTCATGAGGGCTCCACCCTCATGACCTAATCACCTCCCATAGGCCCTACCTCCAAAAAGCATCACTTTGGGGATTATATTTCAAGATATGAAATTTGGGTGGGGTGGGCACAAACAGTCCGTAACAAAGATAAAGCAAGACATTAATTTATCCTTCCCACTTAGGATGATAGGGTTAACAAAGAAAATGGTGCACCTACTTTAAAAAAAATTTTTTTAACTTGCTGTTATAATTTAAAAGCCATTAACCACCTACTCTTGTCTCATAATCATTGGAATTGTTGTTAATTAATCAATGAATGCATAATTTCTTCTGAAAAATAAGTAAGCCCACATGACCACTTTTCAACATGTATATAAAAATTGTGTTTATTAATTTGGGCTGGGCGTGGTGGTTCACACCTGTAATCGCAGCACTTTGGGAGGCTGAGGATCACGAGGTCAAGCGTTTGAGACAAGCCTGGCCAACAGAGTGAAACTCCGGTGGTGGGTGCCTGTAATCCCAGCTACTCAGGAGGCTGAGGCAGGAGAATCGCTTGAACCTGGGAGGCAGAGGTTGCAGTGAGCTGAGATCGCGCCACTGCACTCCAGCCCGGGCGACAGTGCAAGACTCCGCCTCAAAAAAAAAAAAAAAAGTGCTATCTCCTAAAATAACTCATGTCTCCTCCAAACTTCCCAAAGATGTATTTTTCTTCCTATTTCTATGAAAGCACTCATACTTAACTCGAAAGCATGACTGAAGCTCGCTTGGCATAAAGTGCACTGCAATTGAAACCCACAGGCCAAGATCCAATGCCTTGTTCTCTATTTTTTCGCCATATGACATTAAACAGACAACCCATTTTTCCAAGTTTTCCTGGGCCTGGGGCTTGACCAATGAGAAAAGTAGGTGAGATCATCTCTAAAGACCCTATCATTCTTATATTTTATAATCCTATAATAAATCACTTTATATTACAAAGATCTTAAGGGTTCTGTGTAGTTAAATGTATTTTGTGCTTTAAATTTTTGTTGTTGTCATTTTTTTCTGTGTGTTTTTCTATAACCACTTTGATTGACAGAAGCCTCTTTACCTGTCCTTTGCAATGCTGCATAATCTTTAGCAATTAAGTTAGTCAAACTGATATAAATCATGACTTCCTTCCTACTAGAAAGTTTTATGTGAAATTTGTACAACTAGAAACGTGGGCTATGAAAGTTTCATACAATTCAATTTTTCCATTATAAATGGCAGTCTATTTACTTTAGAATTTTTCTAGTGGTTTAGACTTTGCCTGAACCAGCAATTTAGAGCAGCCTCTAAAAAAATAAAATTAAAGAAGGTGACATTCATATTTGTGCTGGCCTCCAACTCAAACTGTGTGTCTCACAGTGAGTCTTAGCATAAGACATGTGATTGAAGGATACTTCTGTGAAACAACTGCTCAGGGGGAAGTATGTATCATCTGAGTCCAGTTCAGAAAAGACAGCTGTCCACCTGGAAATCTCTCAGCCTAGTAGAAATGGCCATCCTATGTGTTGTTGTGTCATCCAAGAAGCTCAAAACTGAATGGACATGCAGGCAATATTAATCCTTTGAACCTTCAAAGGGGCCACTGCTTTGTGATTAAAGATAGGTCCTAGTCACCTGGTCCCATTAGTTCATGAATGATGACCTTTTTAACAACACCCTGAAGTCAGCTTTAAAGTAGGGCACTAAAATGGAATTTAATAAAACACAGAACCTAGAAAATTGAAAACAGGAAAAAGTTAAGGTATTCTAACATTACAGGACTTGAAAGCATTGTTTTTCTTCTGCCATATCAAGCAACCTAGTTTTAACCCAGTAAAGAGAAAAATAATGATAAGGTAATGAATATTTTTATGGAATGGGTTACTGTACTTTAGAAAACGTTTTGAGGTCTTTATTAGACCAAAACAGAATAATTCAGTTTTAATGCCATAACAAACTTTACATTTAATAATGTAAGTTGAGTTCTGACAGGGTGTCGGTTTGTATAATTTGTAGGTACTTAATACATGCTTAGTGAGAATGATGAGACTAGTGATCATTTTGATTATTAAAGAATATGAAAACAATACGGCAAAAGGAAGTTCTTCCCTTCTGTTTATGTGGTCATACTTATTTACCACATTTTAAAAATGCTAGTATTTTAATTAAGAAAGACATGTTAGCTTAGAATACCAGAATAAAACTAACCTAATTTTCAGAATCATCAATATGAAGAAAAACTTTGTTGAGGGCTTATTTTATTCCCCAAAATTCAGAAGATTAAAACCAATTGAAATTTAATGTGGTCATATTATTTCCAACCTGAATTTCAAATAAATTATATGACCTATTTCAAGACATACACAATTGTTTCAAACACACTTTGAAACAATTAAATAGAAAGTTTATCTGTGCCTTCTTTGTAGAATCTGGTGTACACTTTTTTTTAGTTTAAAATTATGCCCATGATTGAAAATTAATAAATAAAACTTCTAGATTTTAGTTTAGTAACCATCTGTGAAGATTAACCTCTCAGAACTATATCAGCTTTTTGTTTTATTTTTTTCCTTCTTTTGCTCTTTCTTTCTTTTTTCTTTCTCTTACTTTCAATTGCATGATAAATTCTGGATTATGCCTCACTAAGGCTTCAACACTACATTTAATGAAGTTGTTGAACTTTTAACCTTTGAGTTCAACACACTTGAAAACTACCACCAATATATATTGCGCTTTTTTCTGTAGTTCTGTGTCAAATATAGTGAGGGTCTTTTAGTGTAGAGGACTGTTTACCCAGGCTCTTTGTAAAAACAAATGGAAGGCATTTCATTTTTTACTGGTCTTTTTTAAAATTCTGGAAGAAAAATATGCTGGGGTTCCCTAGAACAACCCCCTCCCTATCCTGCTCCTCTGCTGGTAATTGGTCTACAAATAAAGAGCTCCTGAGTGTCAGCTTCCAATGAAAAGTCATTTATTCATAACCAGACATCCAGCTTCCCAACAGAAAGGATTGTTTTTTCCAAGATCATCTTATATCTTTCAAACTCATCCTGTCTATTCAGCCATGCATACTGCCTGCAAGGCAGCACAAGCAACATTTCTTAGTTTCATAACCAAACAGTAGCAATGCTTTCAAAGGAATCAAAAGGAAGGAACTTTTTTTTTAATGTAGGATTTATACTTACCTTTTACTCTTTGTGTCATTAAACCGTTATAAATGTTGTTCCAAGCTCCGTCCTTCGATAGGGAACCAAAAAAACAGGCAGTTCTCTGTCTTATTTGTTGGAGGAATAATCTGATGAGCAGTGAACACTAGAGGGGGAGCTTACCCGTTCAGGAGCATGAGTGAAAGCTTCAGACCCTCTGGGAGAGGATCAGAGTGATAATAGAGCTACTGACTTAAACAAGGCAAGCTAGGATTTGGTCAGCAGTGGTTCCGAAGTCAAAAGGTCAAGAATGGTACGTAGCCAACTTATTGTCACTTTCCAAAACGGCAAGAAATCACAGTGAAATTGAGAAATTTAGCTGCTGCTTATACCATGATATGGAATATTTTAAAAATCTCTCTGGAGGCAGCTATACTATGAGGAGTAAGATTACAGAGGCTTTCCCCCCCTTGACTAGGGCTCTCTGTCATTTAAATGTCTAAGGAATGATGGAATGAATTATCATAAAATTTTGACAAATTTGATGGCTCAAGCAAAAGGGGGAAATAAGCACTCCGATTATCAGGTTGTAATAAGACATGACATTTAAAATGAGTTTACATGGCAGTTAGACAGACCTTTGCTTTTTTCCCCTTGGTTTAAAAACACTGGGATCCTTTTCTTTGGAAAGGAATTAACTTATTTCAGTTTCTCTTCTCCCTAGCTTAACAAGTATGAATCCTATTACACCAATTATACGTTTCCATCCCTTGTAACCATAGTCCAATTGCTTTCCACAATTTGCCTAAATTTAAAAAAAAAAAAGAACATAACTTGAAAGCAGCAGAATATTTAAGTAGAGATATTTAGTATAAATTTGGTAGAAAAAATATAAGAAATATAAGTTGTTCTTTCATTTGTTATTAGGCTATTTTTTTCTGTATCATCTTACAACACAGTAGATAGGATGTATTGATTTAGAAGAACAAACTATACTTTTCAAAAAGAAATAAAGCAATAAAAGTGATTAACCAAAAAACTGAAAAACAACATTGATTTTCTCTGATGCCACTCACCCCTACTTCTTTACCAAATATAAACTTTTCTTTCAAATAATCTATCTCTTTAAGCCACATGAAAAATCCAAATTATTATGTTTATATTATTTACTAGAAATGTTTGGTTTAAAAAAGATAATTCAATCACAATTAATCTGCTCTTTGGAAACATCCTGCACTTCTAGTTAAAAATTAATAGAGTCTGTGGCATTTTAAAACTATGTACTATTAGTACTATTAGAAAACATATTTCTGTAAAAAAAAAAAAAGAAGAGGAAATAAAGACTTTTTTAAGAAATATGTTTAGGGTGATTTTAACTTTGTCAGGCTCCAACTACTAAAAGTGGAAAGAAGTCACCTGACTTTAGAAAGTGAGCTCTGTATAGATGGCCTGATAACTGACCACCTGACTTTACCTACAATTACTTGAATTATACGAACAAAATAATGTGGTTTGATGAAAATTTTCCCCAGCAATACATAAAAATGTGGATTTGTCTTTGCTTTCCAAGAGATTTTTTAGAACTGTGATGACCAGATCTTTAGAATTTTCTTCGGATTCTAGTAGTGCAATCCCCAGAGGTTAGTCAAAAGCTAGTAGTCATTTCCCACAGACCTGGATAGCAACAATTACTTAGACAGTTTTTACTTACTTAACTAAATAAGAGAGCAGAGGAAGTATGAATTAAATGTAGTTATTCTAAGTTTCTAGGGTTTATATCATGGAAGCCAACTGTTGAACTACTAATAAAAATCTATTTTGAAGCTGCTGATCTGGCCCTCGAATGCATCCTTCATGCTCTGCCCACAGGTACCTGCAAATTGTGTAGGTGGCCAAGCAATGGAGACATACCTTGAGCCTTGAGTAAGCAGTTTTGGGGTTAAGCAATTTGGAGGAAGCAGGAGCTGGCCAAGTAAATGTAACGTTTCCTTTGTATCATTGGAACTAGAGCCATTTTGCTCACCCAATAAAAATGTCTAGCTAGGCAGGGCGCTGTGGCTCACGCCTGTCATCCCAGCACTTTGGGAGGCCGAAGCGGGCGGATCACGAGGTCAGGATATCAAGACCATCCTGGCTAACACGGTGAAACCCCATCTCTACTAAAAATACAAAAAATTAGCCGGGCGTGGTGGCGGGCGCCGCCACGCGGGGGGACGCTGAGGCAGGAGAATGGCGTGAACCCTGGAGGCGGAGCTTGCAGTGAGACGAGATGGCGCCACTGGACTCCAGCCTGTGCGACAGAGCAAGACTCCATCTCAAAAAAATAAATAAATAAATAATAAATAAATAAAATAAATAAATTAAAAATGTCTAGCTAATAATTTTGGTCCCATCAAAGATAAAAAAGGCTGCCTGAAAAAAAAGAAAAAAGTAACTTCTAAATCACCTGTGAATATTAATTAAACTGTACTGGAACATTTCAATTCCTTAAGTCAGATCCAGAAATAGAAGAGAAAGAGAAAGGGGACAGGGCCTATGAGTAAACATAATATGCTTAGAAATTATATCTAACATTAATCACATTTTTCCTGTGTCCCTTGGCCTGTGCAGTGCTTGAACTCTTTCAGACCAATTATTTCCTTTAATACATGAAATTCTTTTAATTTTTAAAATTAAATGTACCTAAATTTAGAATTGTTCTCTTATTCTAACTTTATGCTTAGTAAGATAAGATTTTTTTCTTATTCAATTTCAATTTCTCCATTTTCATTTTATTTTTGGAAGGTGAAAATAAAATTAATATAGAAAACACGATATCTCCTGGGCATGGTAGCTCATGCCTGTAATCCCAGCATTTTGGGAGATTGAGGCTGGTGGATCACTTGAGGTCAGGAGTTCGAGACTGGCCTTGCCAACATGGTGAAACCCTGTCTCTACTAAATATACAAAAATTAGTTGAGCATGGTGGTATGGGCCAGCAATCCCAGCTACTCGGGAGACTGAGGGAGGAAAATCGCTTGAACCCGGGAGGTGGAGGTTGCAGTGAGCTGTGTTTCTCCCATTAATTTTATTGTGCCAAAATTGCGGACATGAAAATACTACAACCAAATCATTAGTTAAGTCTGTAAACATCATTTTAGACACAGAAGTAAGTTTGACACCTACAAGTATGAAACAGAGAAAACACAAAATGATTGTTGTTCTTATAAATTGTTTAATAGAAAATTAGCTAAGTATTATGCTTACTTGACAAAGAAAAAGTAATATATTTTCCTACAGTTTTTATTTAGAAGAATAGATTAATGTAAATGTCTCTGATAATGACTACCAATCCAGAATGAGAATTTATGTCAACGTTCTTTCTTTAAGGTTTTTGAAATATCATTCCCAAACATTTCATAAAAACAGCCTTCTGGGTTTTTCTTCTGCGGCCTACTTATGGCATATTTTACTTTGAAACATAAAATGAAAGAGAGAGAGAGGTGAGCATGTATTTATAAAGAAAAGTAATGAAAATATCCAGAATCTACAAATAACTTAAACAAATTTATAAGAAAAAACAAACAATACCATCAAAAAGTAGGTGAAGGATATGAGCATACACTTCTCAAAAGAAGACACTTATGTGGCCAACAAATATATGAAAAAAAGCTCATCATCACTGGTCATTAGAGAAATGCAAATCAAAATCACAATGAGATACCATCTCGCACCAGTTAGAATGGCAATTATTAAAAAGTCAAGAAACAACAGATGCTGGAGAGCATGTCGAGAAATAGGAACATTTTTACACTGTTGGTGGAAGTGTAAATTAGTTCAACCATTCTGGAAGACAGTGTGGCGATTCCTCAAGGATCTAGAACCAGAAATACCATTTGACCCAGCCATCCCATTACTGGGTATATACCCAAAGGATTATAAATCATGCTGCTATAAAGACACATGCACGTGTATGTTTATTGCGGCACTATTCACAATAGCAAAGACTTGGAACCAACCCAAATGCCCATGAATGATAGACTGGATAAAGAAAATGTGGCACATATACACCGTGGAATACTATGCAGCCATAAAAAAGGATGAGTTCATGTCCTTTGTAGTGACATGAATGAAGCTGGAAACCATCATTCTCAGCAAACTAAAACAGCAACAAAAATCCAAACACCACATGTTCTCACCCATAAGTGGGAGTTGAACAATGAGAACACGTGGACACAGGGAGGGGAACATCACACATTAGGGTCTGTCGGGGTGGGGGCTAGAGAAGGGATAGCATTAGGAGAAATACCTACTGTAGATGATGGGTTGATGGGTGCAGCAAACCACCATGGCACATGTATACCTGTGTAACAAAGCTGCACGTTCTGCACATGTATCCCAGAATTTAAAGTATATAAAAAAGGAATATAAATATTTTTTAAAAATTTACTAAAGATTTGAAATCAAATGACGAGTTTGTTTCTTTACATAGAATTGTGTTAGGAAATGTGGTTGACAAAGTGGAAATGCATATGTCTTTAATAGCAAATTGTTCTCACAGAGGTCAATACGTATTTCATTGATTGATTGATTCAATAAATAAATAAATAAATGTTGAACAACTACTATGTAGCAAGTGCTGTATTCAAGTCTGGCTTATTTTTGTGAACATGGCAAGAAAAGTGAGCAATTTTATGAAGCTTATACCATAGTAGAGATTTAGGTAAACAAATCCACAAGTATGATAAAGCAAGAGAAGGTTACTATTGCATATAGTAGGAACCCCTTCACCCAGATTCATTAATCTTGGAAGATGGTCAGGATAAGTGGTAAAACTGGCCTGAATGAGTGAAAAAATAATTATATAGAAAGGAAGAGGAGGGGATTTGAAAAAAAAAAGACTATTATTAAAGGAAAAATGAATGTGAGAATGCAATAGAGGAAAGAAGAAGGAATGAGGTGAAAGTAATAGGTTCCCAAAGGCCATAATATAAAAGGAAGTTGTTAGTCATGTTATGAGTTTGACTTTATCCAGAAGTAATGGAGAGCTATCAAATGGTTTTAAACAGCAGAATGATCAAACCAGATTTGCATTTCAGAAATTTTCTTCTTACAACCATGTGGGGAATGAAGAGGGACAAAATTTAAGGTAAGGAGTTCATACAGGAGAGATTATTGTAGTCTAAACTAACACAGTGACAGTGATTATAGATAGAAGCAGCCCTATCTGACAGCTATTTAGAAGGTAGAATGGGTAGAGGTTAGTCTTGGCTTGGATGTGAGAGAAAAGGGAGAAGTGGTAGTCAAAGATATAAGCAGTATATAAATCATACCAAATTATTTCAATGCTACATTTAATTTACTTACATGTGCTAATCCACTATGTACCCAAATATAAGGAAATGATAGCATAAAGAAGAAGGTGTCATAAACAGAAGTTTATTTATCTAAATATTTTCCATAATCTCAAACACCATGATGATACTTTGACATTCAATCACTTTTTCTCATTTTTCTGGGAGCATAATTTTTTCTTAACTGTTTTACTTTTTACTAATAATTTTCAAGTTTAAAGAAAATTGCTGTTTTCTATAAAATTACATAAAACAAAAATGTCCAAAAATAAGAAAAATTATGGCCTGTGTAGCATCATCAATACTTGCCAAATGATCAATTACATAGAAAATACCCAATAACTTACAAATAAACTTTTTCCCCAGTCTTAATAATGACAGGGTCAAACCAAAAACAGCACTTTATGGAGAGATATTATAATATTTAGAAATGTTGTTTGTATAATTATTAATAAGTATACATTAAAATGAGTGCATTAATCTTTTAATTTGGTTCTATTTATCTACTGACTCATTCAACAAACTATCATTTTATGAAATATAAACATTTATGCAAATTTTATATGAAATTATAAAAATCAAGGGAATTACAGGCTTACAACATTCCCTCATTCTAGGTTTATTATTTTAACACATTTTTGGAGAGAGAAAAAGAGAGACAGAGACAGAGAAACAATTTAGTTAGCATCAAATAATTCACCTCCATTCTGAAAAACTAACCTGGGGAAAAGATGAGAATAACCAGGCAATAGTGAATGTAGATATTTGCCTAGAACATTTGATCCCAACATTTACAGTTTTGGTAGCAGTGTGCTTTTGGTTCCGTGAGAAGAAAAGTGAGGTCAGAATCCACTGATCTGGCAGTTTCTTTGGTTTCATAATAAACATCCCAGTGGTTTAAGCAAAAAGTAGGAGTAGAGCATAGGGCAGGATGAGAGTGTGGAATTTTGTTAATTTCCTGCTCTCGATTTGGGTGTCTAATAGATACTTTTCTGAATTAAAAAATGTTTTCAGTGCTCTAAAGTCAGAGCAAAATCAATATGCTTTGAATCACTTGTGTCACCCTAGATCTTCCAGGAATCAAGATGAATATGGGCAGGTGGGGTGTACCATGGACTTGCTAGTTGGCCAGTTGTTGACATTTTTTAAGTCTCTCAAATACAATTACATCTGAAATTGTAATTGATAAATATTTCTAAAATATAGAGCCAAGTATCTCTAGAGTGCTGGTAGGAAAAAAGTTAACTGGAGACTACTGGCTATGAAAAATATAATACAGAAAATTTGTCTTGTGGAGGAATTATCATTCTAACATTTATTAGGACAACTTAAATATTATAAAGAAAGTTCCCTGTAAGTAAGATACCATATGTCCTCACTTTTCTAGTATGTTTCACAACATTATTCCTGTTTCTTGGTTTTATTAATAATAGTACCATTTTGTTCATAAGCAGTCTAAGTTTGGATGATAAAACACATGGTTACCCCACTAATAGGACTTTAGGATCATAGATGCTTGGGCAATATGGGCATAGAGTATTCTAAGGTGAACCTCCTATTTTCAGACATGATAAAATGACATAGGGCTCAATATCAAATGGTGACATGATATATTTTGATATTCAACTGCTTCTAAAAATGATATTAATAAAGATAAGAAAATCCTAAGGTAATGAAATTATGTAAAAATTGTGTGAACAAGGCACTAAGTATGTATGCATTGTGTAACTGGTGAAAATAAACCTTTGGCTACATAACCTTTACTGGTTATTTTCATGATTGCATTACATTTTTAAAATTATGAAAAAGTAAGATCCAAAAGTTTCTCTGACTCAGGTCTCCATGAATGGTGAGTATTAGGGATTTCTAGTCTTATAAAAGGTAAGATTAATGTTTGACTATCAGCACACTATCTTTTGTCATTCTGCACAAAACTTTTAACTTTGGAATATCGTTTTGCACTAGTAAACCATTGGGAGCTTGTACTCACATTATCCTCAGCTCCAAATGAGCTCACTTGGTTAAATGGTGCAAATTAGGAAGCAAGTTTTATGAAATTTGAAAATCTTAAGTGAAAATGATAAAGAAAGAAATGAAGGTGCCCAGCAAAAGACCCAGTGAAATCAGTGGCTTGCAAAGTGTTAAATGTGTTTATTTGCACTTTCAAAGTTCAAATTTCCTCATACATTTTCATACTGATGGAGATAAAATGCTAAAGTCTTAAATCCCTCTATGCCATGCTGAGTTGCTAAGGGCTGTTGAGTTTTTGTTATTTCTCCTCTCGAGTTAGCTCTGATTATGCCTGCTGAGTGAAAAATTTGTATTTGCCGACAGAAATAGGAACCACCCCACGTGCACTTGCACTCAGCAAATGTTCCAATACATCACAAAGATTTGCTCAACCCACCTTCAGAGGCCAAATCGAGCATGTTATTTTCTGTTTAGATCTGATTCTGGAGCCTATCAGTCAGGAGTGTTTTCCAATCTCTGATTAAAGCAAGGCCTACAAAGCTGGAAGTGTTCACACACAGTCTCATTAGAGCACTGGATAGAGTGACCCAGGCCTTCTAGCACAAAGCTCTGAGTGAACTTCAAATATGAGAGTGCATCAATCAAATCCAAGCAACGCTTTTATGTCATTTTTCTACTTTGCCTTTAAAGTCCTATAGGAATGCCCTTTCCAGCTGTACAGCCGAAATGCATTCAATAGAAACAAAAAAGCAAAGACCCCCCCCAACCCCCTGACCCCTCCAAATGGGTATAATTTTTACCTCCCCCACAAAGCATTAGAGAGTCTTCTGGCATTTTAAATTATTTAGCATGTTTAACAATACAACGGAGAATATATTCGCATCACTCAATGCCTCTGTATTAATTATTAGTGCCCATTTGAAAGGGAAACCAATAAGGTCAAAGGCAATGAGATTGCGTATTGTATGTTTTAAATAGAGGTAGCTGAGAGATTGGGGGAAAAATAAAGCAATGCTGCTGGAGCTTTTTTATGCCCTGCCCCCAATTTTTGCTTTTTTGGTGTTGTCTTAGATCATTAAGAAAACAAAAAAGCAAAAGAATAAAATGAAAAAGGATCACCAAAAATCGTGGCAAGAAAGATGATAAGGCGTAAGTCTGAGAAAGAGGAGTGAGGCATTTAATGTTTGTTTTACATGCTGCTCAGGGCACTAGAGTCATTTTCAAAGACACATTTTTAAAAGATACGCATAAAGGCAAACAATATAAATTTGTCCGCTAATATCATTAGAGGAAAATGCATGGGTGCAGTTAGTAGTGATTATTAAATTTAAGAACTTTTCCTCCAAACATTGCGCCAAAAAACATTATACCACAACATCAGTATGAATTGAATAAAATGAGCTTTCGAATTCTGAAAAACAAAATAATTTAAAAGAAGAAAATAAATCTTCACTACAGAGTAGATAAAGTTTCCTGAATTTTATACCTCTTTGTGAATAAGTGAATAGTTCAACTATGGAAGATAATCTATCTTGATCCAATTAGGAAAAGCAATGTACCAAAAGTATAGTGCACGTTGTAATATAGGGCAAATAAATCGTTTATTCAAGGGAATTCCCTGTGTGTATACATTTGTTTCCATTTCTAGTTTTTTAGGCAAATACTAACCACAAATAGCACTTCACCCACTCAAATATATTGCAGCATGTAAAAGAGTGCTTGAATTTAGAGCAATATATATATATTTTTTAATTCAGCATGTGTTTCTTTACAGGGCTTCAGATGTTTGGAAGAATTATGCAGATTTTATAAATGAGTACTAGAGCATTATGCTACTTGATAGTGTCCCATCTGTGCTTCCCCTGTAGTGTTTGATGGGGCATCTGTGTAAATTGCTTTCTTTTTTTAGTTAATTAGTTTATTGCATAAAACTTAATGCGCTACCTGATAAAAACTTTTGTTCATTTCAGCACTTTTCCCCTCTGGAGCTGATGTTCATCTTTAGTTCTTATCAGGCCTAACTTCTTCCTTTGTAGCTTCCTAGACTGAAATAACAAAATAATGCTGTTTTCCTCTCTATTTTACCAGGCATATTGGATTCTGTTTCTGTGATAATAAATATTAAGATTGTAACTAATAATTTAAGTTGATTACCTCAATATTTCATATATTTTAACATAGCTTCCCAACAAAAATATTTTCTAATATATTTTTAAAGGACATTTTAAGATTTTTTTTAAAGGAAACCAACTTCCCAGAGAACAAATATACACAGTCAAGAAGTGTGTACAACCAATCCTTTTCTCTTGAAGGTATTCCTGCCTCCATTTAAACTGTTTAAGTTATGTTGGTATAGGACCACAAATCTTGTTGAAATGCAATAAAAAAAACAAAACACATTATAAAATCAGCTTCTCATTTTAATCTTGTTTAGTAAAAAAAATCAGAACTCTTAAATTATAAACTACATTTTTCACTTACATCTCAATATTTGTCCTCTGGAGAAGCAATGTGAGCTGAGGGAAGGAGGCATCCAAGACAGGAAAGAAAAATATCAAAAAATTTTATAGGCAATATCAATCACTGGGTAAAGGAATAGGTTCTGAATCAACATATATGAGCTGTGTAACACTGGGAATTTTTTTTCACACCTCTATACTCCACTTTCCTTATCTTTGAAATGATCTCATAGTGATATTTACCACATAGAGCACTTGTGAGTATGAAATGAGTTTATATTTGTCAGTGCATAAAACAGTATCTGGCATGTAACAATTGCTCAAAAAAAAAAAAATTGGCTATTACCGGGTTAATTTTGGTGAGAACAGCTATTTTGCTACAAATATAGGTAACAATAGTTAACTTCATATATCTGAAAGAAGTCACTGTTATTTTTCCAAAAATTAAAACACCTATTTTTATGTAAGATAGAATATTTAATTCAGAAGACTAATCTTAGCTATTTTGTAAGATATATCACCTTTTAAGAATAACCAAGAGGACAATGCTTTAGAAATAAATCCTATTTTATAAATCTTTTAAATTGAAGACTTGGCACACAGTCTGCCAGTTTCGAATTACACAAAAGCTTTGATTTAGTGCTGTTTATTTATTTTTCTATCATGATGGTCATTGTATATGTGAGATCCTTATGTCTTAAATACCATATAGGTAGACATTTTTGCACTTATAAGACCAGAAAAATTATTTATCCAGTGATACTATTTATTTAGTGGACCCTGACATTATAATTCATCTATAATATGATGTGCTAGTATTTGTGCTCCATTGTGCTCTCAGTCCAATAGATTATATATCTAGATTATATATATTACAGATATAGATTATATATAATCTATTGGACTGAGATTATAATAACATAAATTTGAGTTTCATCTTGAATTTACCTTACCTAAAGTCTTGGAAAGCCTGTCAATGAAGTGTGCTCTTGTTCATCTAAAAAAGTCAATGCAAGTGAACCAGCTAGAAAGTAGAATCTGGAACAACTTTTCAATATGTGAAAGTCAAAATCAAAATGTCAACTACTCTGACTTGGAGAAAATTGAGTTATCAACTAAACCCTCACACTATATAAATGGATAAGAATTCAGTAAACTCCAAGAGGGTTCTTAAACTCATATATTATATCTATTCTGTCCAATAGCATAAAAAGTTTAAAAGTTGTTCCATAGGATGGAAATACTTGTAAGCATCTTGCCTCAAGGTTTAAAATATAAAAGTTTCTAACAGTTACTTAACACATAAGAAAAAGAAAATACAATTTGACACCAGTCATAAAATCTATTGAAGAAAGAATATTTGTAGTCATAGCTTGCCTTTCCTGTGTGAAAAATGATGCATAATACAATCTTAATTGAGAAGCAATAGTGATAATTCACATTAAGTGTACCAGATATTCTAAAATTTGGTCTCTACATTTTCTCTTCTTTTCTTGGTAATATCATCTTAACAAACACCAGAAATTGAAAATCACACACACACACACACACACACACACACACACACACACACCCCATAGTGAAATGTTAACATCAAATTAAAAATTTCTAAAGTTTGGAGAGATTTAAGTAATAAGAAATATTTTATGGAAATCAAATCTATATATGACTTCCCAGCCATTGATGATTCTTAATGGCATGTGAGATTGACAATTACTTAGTTTTCCCTTGATAGAATAAGCAGTTATTAATCACATACCTTTGCTTGGTATTCCACATTGTGCTATAAGAGCTACTTGAAGATTTCTGGATTCCATCCTTACAATTTATGTATTACAAACAAATACTGCTTTGGAAAAGTTGGACCAACTTATTTTTTCTAAGCTTTATTCTATCTATTTGGCAAGATGTTCAAGATCCTTGGTAAATATGTTAAAATTAAGGGCCTCTTCTCTAAAAGCAAAATAAGTCATAATCACAGGTCTGAGATCATCTCCACGTTTTAGCCAACCTGGTTAACTTCTCTTTCTTTAATAAAATTCCACCATAGTTTAATTTTTAAGATGGCATACCTTTTCTAAAGTAACACTCCTTAATTTTATATTTGTGAAAACATATAATTCTGTTTCTCTCTCCAGTATTGTCACTATGAATTTTTGTATCCAAAAGAGAAGAAAAGAGACTAGTTTTTCAAAAACAGAAACTGTTATAGAGTAATTGGAATTGGTCAAATGAGAAATCAAATATACACACCGCCAGTAGCACTGACAAAGCAAAAAGTATCCAGCCAAAGTTAAAGAATTTCCTAAATTTGCTAATCATTATTTTTTAGACCAAGTTTCCACCCACCTACCCCCACCATTATATCAGGTTGAAGAGTCTAAAAGAAGATAGACCCAAAAGAGCAGTTTAAAATGCTTTAATTTTTTTAAATGTGATACTGTTCTTTTTAAGGGTTCTTTCATATGTGATCAGTCAGAGATACTGACTTTTGTGAGTTAACACAAAAGTGAAATCGCACTTTTAAGTGCTGTCTCTCTTTGGAGATTTAATGTGCTTTGTAATATCTCTGAGATCAGTCAGGGAGAGACGAGAAGAAAGAAATTTGATTTTGAGTCTGGACCAAAGCTCGGTGACTTGAGAGGCACCTAAACATAATGAAAAGGAAGAAGTTTCAAAGAGAAAGTTGGCAGCTATGACCAGAATCCACAGGGCTAGCAGGACTGACATCAACCAGAGGCAGATTTAGAGGGGTACCCTATGATCTCTCTTGATACCATTGACACTTCAAGCCCAGTTTCATTGGGGAGCAGTCCAGTAAAAGAACATCTCCAAAGAACACAGCATGGTTGCAGTATTGAGAAAGACATGAAAATGCAGGCACCAAGGGCCTAACGCTGTCCTTTTCTCCTCCAAAGATCACATACATCTGGGGAAAGCAAAAGTCAACATCTGAAACGTGCTTTTTTCAAGCTTGACTTAAGTGATATAAAGTTGGCCGTATAATAGCTAGATGCTTACCTTTGTGACCTAGGTTCAGTCTAATCTAAGAACAAGTTATTAGCTGATTCCTGGTAGTCTTCACTTATCTCCTGGTGAATAACTTTCTACCTCATTTTTTTTTAATTAAATTAACCATCAGCTAAATGTGTGTCAAATATTGAAAATCAGCACAGAGCACCCCCATTGCTTTGTTTGCTTCCAATGTTTTCAATGATCTATGGATTTCTGACGTTTCTGAAGGTTGCAATTTATGCCCAAATAGCTACGTATGAAATGTAAATTCTAAACTTGGTATAGAAATACCTAAACAAAAAATAATAACAATAGTGATCAGTAAAGTAAAGAAATCATACAAATATTTTAAGCTAGAATGTGTTTGTTGACAAAAGAGGTGGGTGCTTAAGTTCCACAGGTAATGACTTAGATACCCATTCCGCTTACACAGTATAAGAAAATAAAATATTTAGAACAGTGGATTTTAACCACATGTGAGATTTGAAAATTACAGACCAAATAGATTTATCATGATGATGTCTATGATAAGATGGCATCTCACTCCAGTGATGTGGGCTAAATTAATTGAACTGTAACTACAGAAAGTTTTATACATTTGCTTACATTAGATTTATGTTCAAAATAAATAAAATAATTGAGTTACCTGTCAAAATAACTAAGGTAAAAAAAATACCACTTTTAGCCTAGATACTCAGACAATAATTACAAAGACCTAATAATTACCATTTCGATTTTACTTATACTTCTTCATAAAAATTACTGATTTAGGATATATCTTCATGACATCAAAATATCTGATCAATTTGACATAAAGACTCATTTAAATTTAGTAAAATAATAGTCAAATCTTTCATAGAACATTAAATGAAATATTTTGTTTTAGGGGATTATGAAAGCATTTTGTGTGTACTTTCAAAGTTCTTTAACTAGAGCAGAATTTTAAGAAACTGAAAACTTCCATACAGAAAAGTCAATATTGTAATTTTACTATTATCTAATGTATCTTTTTGGTGAAACCAATCCTAGAGAAATTCTTGAGAATTCATATTTTTTGAGGTAACAAAAATTTGTCTTTTTTAAATTATGAAATAAGGTGATATAACAATATGTGATTTTAATCTAGCAAGAAGCTGAATTTATGGAGTTTCTTTCCCTATTGTAAAAAGTCAAATAAGATTATCTGATGGTGTTCTAAATATCGGCAGGAACACATGATTATACCATATAATGTAAGAAATTCAGATATTAGAAAGGTATTTTTTAGTACATAGGTTAAATATCAATGATATGGTTAGTAAATTAAGTTATAAAAGTGTTCTTTTGTGTATTACAAGTATTAAAATAAAACAAAATTTTTATTTTTTAGTGTTCCAACCTTTTCTATCCCTTTTAGAAATGTGCTTTTAGGCATTTCTTTTTCTTCTTCAAATCTAAAAAAGTATTTTATGCTAACCTGGAGTACCTAAACTAAATGTAATCCTTGGTTATATTTTGAAAAGGCTATATTTTGTTCTGTACAGAACTAGCACTCTCAGGAACCACATACCCTAGATATGAGTTTATAATTTTGGGCATGCACTATTATTAGCCAACTCAAATTCTATCCAAAATAAATATGTTCCTGTTAGTGTTGAGTATGCCTTTTCTATCCCTTACTCTAGATTTCAAATAGCTAGTTATAATTTTAATATTCTGTGAGCTTCCTATAAATAATGTCTGTGATTTCTTTGTAAAGTATCTGTATATACCAATCATGTATATATACTCATAAAAGTAAACTAACAGGAGGAAACATGATCCTATGGCAAACATTGAGAGTAATAAATGTTTTTCCTCTATTCTTATAAGAGAATAGCTGTTTTTATAAATGTATCCATATGAATTTGATGTTAATTATTTAATCCCACAAACATTTATTCAATATTTACATACCAGGTTCTGAGGATCCAGAAATGAACAAAACAGATGAAGTTCCTATTCCCATAGAGCTTACATTCTAGTGAGAGGAGATATATATTAAATAGATAAACAAATGATTATTATATATCTGTTATTGATAAATTATATGAATAAGAGGAAGGCAGGGCACAAGAATAGAAGGAGAATGTAGTGCAACCATGATTAATTTTATGATCCAACAAATATTAATATAATGGTCTTTCTCCAGTTGGGTTTGCTCTCATAACAAGTCTCCAGCTCAGTAAGAGTGAATTTTGTTTTGCCTAGAATATAAAGTGGAAGGAAATAACAAGGGAATTTTAGCCAGGGAAAGTGATTGATGTTCTATGGCCTAAAATAGTTCCTAATGATAAAACATTAAGACTCCAATTCAACTAACACATATTGGACATAATTATATGAAGGAATTTAATTTACGTGTACATTTCCCGTTATATAAATGGTCATTTTGGTGCCTGCTATTCTTTAAGTAATTGTGATTTATACTCCACAAAACATTATGTGATCAAACAAGTTAACATTCTTATCTTTGAGTCTCTTTTATTGCTATATTGTTGAATACACCATTACAAGGCAATGAATTTATTAGAGTAGTATTGATCCATGTGCTCTGTTTAGTTTGGTGATTACTAAAATCACTGTTAACATATGGGTGAGTCTTAGTTTCCAAAAAGGCCCAGTGAGGAATTTATTTCTAAATTTTAGTTACTTTATTATTAGTAGCTTTATCTTTACATTCAAACCTTTAAAATGACCCATTGTTTCAAATTAAACATTATTCTCAAAATAGTATTGCACTTCTTGATTTCACAAAATTTGTTTCGTTTTTTGTTTTATTTTGTTTTGTTTTGTTTTACTAATATATGGATGAGGGTGATAAAAATATTCTGGGTATTAAATCGTATCAAATTGTCTTCAACATAATCCACCAAAAGGAAAATGATTAATAAAGAGATTTATTAACTGTCACCAATTTTTTAACTCATACTCCTTAAGTAGCTTATGTAGTTAAATAAAAAGTATGATTGTCATGATTTGTAATTACTGCTTTCAAAGTACACCAATTTATTTTCATGAGCTAAGTTAGTAAGCCTATAACTTCTCAAGATTCTCTTTGAAACAATTCAGTTATGACTACTGGAAAAAGAAGCAAATGTATCAAGAACAGCTGCTTTTTAAGGGCTAGTTTTTCTAGGTAAATATCTAATTTAAAGGGAACACATTCCTAAAATATTTATTTCCTACCCAATAATTCTGCATTCAGGAGCTCCATATTCTATAAGCTTTGGTTGCCAAAAAAAAACTCATTTGAAATTTTAGTAACTATATTTAGTACAGGATTCCATGATTGCAAAGCAAGCATACCACACATACCATCTCATTAGTTCTCCATATAATCCTTAAAACTATTTTAAATGTATTTTTTGAAGAGCTTAATTTGCCCCTGAATCTTCAGCTACTTAAGAGGACATTTGAAAAGGTGTGAAAGAGAATTTTTTCATTCTGTAACTGCAATATTCCTGTTGCACGATATAGAAAATAAATTAATATAATTTTCAAATGATAGTTGTAAAAACATGAAATATGGGCTTAATTTAATTATTTAATTGATGTCTTAAACATCAGTTTTTATTATGGAAAAAAACATGTTTATAGACATGTTTTAATTGTTGTCTTTCTGTATTTTTACTGTCCCAGAGGACAACAGAAATACCCCACAACTTTGTTTAGAGGATGGCATGAACCAAGACTCACATAGCAGAAATTATGCATATCTAAAACACATTGAATGCAGAAATTTCTAGACTATTTATTTTTGTTTTCCAGAAACATTTACATTGAATAAAATGAGCCATAGATGGTGACAAATTTTGTGTCACTCTTAATAGATGTATCATCTACTGTTTGAGGCCAAGAAATGAGTAGTTTCCATAATTAGTAAGGGAAATTGAATAATTGGACTGTGGTTTGTGAGGAGGTTTTTTTCCTCTAAGAAGGAAAACCATGTAATCTGTAAGTCACAGTCAAGTGGGTTTACTTGATTCATTCTTTTTAAGCACACAATTATCTCATGCTCATTTAACATAAGCTACAAAATAAATGTTCAAGCATGGAAGTTTTTCTCTTTCACCAGGAAATCTGAGTTTTTTTTTTTTAAATTTGACTTCAGAGTTTTCTTATAAAATATACTCCGTATTTAATTTTAACATAAATTTGGAGAAAGGTTAAGTAAAATAAAATTGTCCCCCTAATAAATGAAAACATTTGAGAGTCTATAAATGCATTATAACATTGTGAAAAGATAAAAATAATTTGATTCATATTTTCCCCTGAAGCAAAGATTTTATTTTGAATGAACACCATACAAAAATATTACATTCACAATATTATGACCTTATCCATTTTATTCCCACAATTTGTTGTATAATGGAATGTGTTCTGGCTGGGCAAAACTTTCAAGTGTTTACAACTTGAAGATGAACTAAGCAAGTATATCAATTGCTTTTCAATCATTCATTCATTCATCATTTCAGCTGATATCAGCTGAATATTGTGTCTCAGATGCAAGGGATATAATCATTAAAAAGACAAAGTTCCTGCAAAAAAGGAACTTGTAGACTAATTCCAAGAAGGAAATGGGCAATTATCACACTTAATTTGAACTTGAAGAAATTTTTCTAGTCAAAATTTTTTCTTATGATTTTCAATAATTGGGGGGAAGAAGAGAGACTGGTCAATGGGTACAAACAGTGAGATAGAAGGTATAAATCTTAATATTATAGCAGAGTAGAATGACTATAGTTAGCAATAATGTATTGTGTATTTCAAAGTAGCTAGAAGAGGGAGCTTGAAATGTTCTCAACTTGTAATGATCAAGTCAGGTTATTTGGGATATCATTCTAACATAGAAATGATAAATACTGAAGGTCACGGATATCCCAAATAATCTGACTTGAAATATCCATAACTTAAGTATTTATATGAGTATTGAGTATTTGCATAAGTATCTTGAGTATTTGTATGAGTATCCAAATAACCCAATTTGATCATTACATATTCATGCATGACAAAATATCACACGTACCCCATAAATATGTACAATATTATGTATCAATACAAAATTGAAAAAAATAAATATTTTAATTCATCTGGATGTTTTTATTAACTCAATAAATTGGTATTAGTTTCCTCTGTCTAGTGAATGACATCCCTCAAAAATACCCAAATATCCATTGTATCTGTTACTTTTTCAAATTTCTGACCCAAGGCTGGTTATGAAAAATGTTGAGTAGATCAATTTCTTCTTCAGATTCTAAGTGACTCATCAACTTTTAAGATATTGTTGTAATCATCCATGAGCTTAAAGGAAGGGGAATTCAAAAGGACCTGTGGAGCCCTTTAGAAATCAGAAACTAGGAAAAATATATATAAGGATATCCTATAACACCAACTTTGGTGGATTATCATTGGTGTTAAATTTTTAGAGAATTTACAGAGTTCTGAGTACCATGAGGCACATAAAATGCATAAAACACTTTTTATATAGGAATCATTTAATGAATTGTATTTCCATGTATATGATATAGTACTTGACCTCTGGAAGTTTATTTTCTTTGAGTCACATATGTAGCTATATATGTTTGTGTTTATGTATATGTGTACATACCCAAGTATATAAAAAATAGAGAAGTAAAAGTTCTAGGGTCTCCAGATTTTAACATTTCCAATAGTTTTGCCCGGCTTCTACAATAAAGTTGTAGCCCTTTCTCGATGCACTATTACCAAGAGTTGGCAGCAATAATATGTCTGATAGTATTATAAGTTCATTCCCAGAAATACTATCTCAGAGAAGCACTAGCCTTGGACACATTGTTTGAGCATGGTAGATTATAAGATTATAAGAATAAAAGTGGGGCAAGGCAAATTGGGTGTTAAGTATGATTTCACTTCTAGAAATATCCTAGTAGTTTTATGTTACAGCTATATAATTCTTAAATTTAGAATTTTTTTCACAATTTTTGATTTTTTAATGCATATTTTTGTTAATTTCACTGAAAAGTTTTTGTATAACATTGCGACTTCCTATATTATTTTATCATTACACATGATATTATTATTTCCAATATTTTAAGAATGCACTCACACTTTGGGGAAAACACCACCTAAATTTGCTTTGCATCTGCATTGCTATATAATTTGTATTTTTGAGTAGAGTTTTACTTTAGCAATACTATAAGCAAAGAAAAGAGTACTTTTTAGCAATCCCTATATTTTTCATGGCTACAATCACTGCTTTCATAGCTATCTTTCTACTGTGTCGGTTAATATTAACCCCTCTATACACCTCCCTACAATAGCATAATGCAGATATTAATTTTCTCAGGATGAACATTGAAGTTTGAAATCATTGATTGTAGTCACTATCTAGTCTTTAAATGAGAACATTAATAATGCAGACCAAAAGTGAGAAATAAGTTAAGTTTCCCTTTGATGTCACCAGTTTCTGCATTTTAAAAAATTATTTTCTTATCTTGGTGACACACCTTCCATCTCCAGATGCTTAGTAACTTAATGGTCTCATTACTGACCTTCTTACATTTATTCTTATAATGTTCAGGGAAACGATCTATGGCATAGGTAACATCTATGTTAACTCTCTGCCAGGTATTTGCATTTTATTACATTATCATGTTTTAAGCCAATAGACTATGTTACTAAAGATGGTATATATTTAGGTACTAACCTAAAATCTTTCAGAAATCAATAATTTGTGGGCAGTTATGTGTATAGGGAGAAACGGTTTTCTTCAGTGGTTCAGCAAGCATTTATTTGGTATTCACTATGTGCAAAGTATTAAAATGGCTAGAAACATGGTATATTCCACATCACATGCAGTAACAGTACTTTGGCAACAGGGTCTCCATTATACATTCCAAATTACCTTGATTGTTCTACTCATAGAAAAGAGTTGATTTAGCTATGCATACAAATTTTAACAATCTCATAATACTACACATCACAACTTGAATTTTTGAAAAGACATTGCAATTTTTCCCGCTTCAGGCCTACATGCAAGACTTACCTGATTTAATAGGAATGCTTGGCTTGTGTTCATTGTGAAGATATTTTAGCCATATTACTTGATCTTTTGCTTATGGCATATTACTAAATAGCAGATTTGCCTGCTGCCATTTTCTCTGTTTTTGCTCCTAACTAAATAACTGAACATTTAAAGGGGTGGTATTATAAACGGAAACTCAACACCTATGTATTTATATTTTGTTTGGAAAGGAAAAATAATGAAAATGACTAACAAGGACATAAGTTTATTACTTTCTGTCTTACTCTGCAGACTGAGGATGATTTTATGAAAAGGGAAACATGAATGTTTCCCAAGAAGATACATGTCTACTAAATCATAGTTGTGCCTACTAAATCTGGCTACCATCAGAAATGATACCCCTAAAAAACTATAGGAAAATTAGGGAAACTATTTTTCTCTGGACTGCGGGAAACCTGGTTCTTCAGCAAGTTGTAACTCTTTACTCTTCTGAGTTGGTTTATTCACTTTGAAATCATCTCTTGCTAATATTTACTCTTCAAGGGGATACTGTGATAGATTGCAGAGAGGGCTGCCTTTTTTTTTTCTGCTCCCATTACCTTCTACAGAAAGAGATGTGTTTCCTCTGCTTCCAACTGAAGTAATTGTCCCATTTATCACATATTTCACTGTGGGGTAACAAATTATCTTACTGATAACTCACCTTACTAGCTACTTGGCTATATAAATATGCCCACTTTATAACAGTATTTTCTGAAAATTTTGATGGCATCCTGAGAGATTATTACAAGTATTGTAAGTACTTTCAGTAACTGTATTCTAGATGTCTGTTTCACAAACAGATTCTAGTGTCCTGCTCCTTATAGGAGTGATAAGAGAAGAGGAAGGCAGAGGGAAAAGTGTGTTGACATGGGCATAGAAAAATCAAAGGACAAAGAGGATTGGTGCTCACTGCTTGCATTTAATATAGTGATGAGAACAACTACATCATCCTGGTGTTATGCTCTCATCCAGTATAGATAGTCCAGGAGAGGGAGATTAAAGATGGCTAAGTGGCATGTCTTATCAGAAGGTTCTGACTGACACGAACTCAAAAGCTTCATGATCCAGAAAGTCATAGGGACAGGTGGAAGTTTCCTGTGGCCTCAACAAGAGGCAAAAATATTACAGTGTTCTGTGCAACAAAGAGGGTAAAGTATCTGGTAGAAAAAGGTGGTCATTTGGACATTAAGAAAGGCCAAGTAATGCAGAGGGGAATAATACAGGAGATAAGTGCTTGATCCAAAAGCCAAAGCCCATTAGGTAAATAGATGTCCCAGCAGGTGCCAGGTTAGGTGACAGCAGTGGTGGTGAGCAACACTCCCATACTCCAAAACCTTACCATTGCATAACACCCAGAAATGTAGATAAAACACAGAGATGGGTAGAGGACACCCTGACTGACTGTATCTTCCAAATGAAGGCTTGAATTAAAACTTAAGTTCTGTTATAGAAAATTAAAATATTACACTTTTTTTTTTTTTTGAAACAGAGTCTTGCTCTGTCACCCAGGCTGGAGTGCAATGGTGTGATCTCGGCTCACTGCAACCTCTGCATCCAGGGTTCAAATGATTCTCCCTGCCTCAGCCTCCCGAATATGCTGGGATTACAGGCGCCTGCCACCACACCTGGCTACTTTTTGTATTTTTAGTAGAGATGGGGTTTCGCCATGCTGGCCAGGCTGGTCTTGAACTCCTGACTTCAGGTGATCTGCCCGCCTCGGCCTCCCAAAGTGCTGGGATTATAGGCATGAGCCACCACAACTGGCCTAAAATACTACATTTTTTACATAACTCTGATTAAGGACTGAGATTCATTCCTGCTACAGCATTGTCATTCTTCACTAAGTGATAACTTCTGCTAAATGGATAGACAAAGGATTGGGTTACAAAGAAGAACAGTCCCCAAAGTTATATTTAAATGACATGCTCAGAACGTGGTGTAGAAAAGCTGCCATGAATTATGTATGGGGCCTTTGCTTTCAGACCTTCACACAAATATGGGAAAAATGGTTTAATCAGACATTGTAGCATTAACCATGGTCTGTTCATAAAATTGCATTATGAAAGAATCTATATGTTATTTTTTATGAATTGTGATTTCCTAATCATAATTTTGCATCCACATCCCTGATGCCAACATGATGCCATAAAACACAACTCAGCCCTCTCCTGTGTTAAAAGGTAAAAATTTTTCTTTGCTTTCCTTCACAAATACAAAAATGTTTTCCCAAGTAAGTTCTAAACCCAGTCTTCAGTCACTTCAAAGAACTGTTTGTACTTTAGGAAGAGATGTCTTGTTTTAATAAGAAAATGTAATTTATTGCTCATTCAACATATTAAGAATTCTAACTTGCCTCTCCTGAAAAAGTGTGGGAGTTCACATGCCTGGTAGCCCCTCCCCAGTTACTGGTAAGGCTATTTCCAATTTGTTTAAATGAACCATAGACAGGATTGCCATTATATGTATGAGGAGGAAATGGAAATTTACATTATATGAATTGAAAACAAGACAAAAAAAAAAGTGTGTGCTCAACCAAAATGAAAAAAATAAAGACTCCATCTAATTTAATTATTCTTACTGAAAATTTCCTTAATAGAGAACAACTCTTTAAACTGTGCAATATCAGATAATGCAATTGCATTTTATGGAACAAATTGAAATGGATGATATTAGACTTCTACTGAGAGCAAGCTTTAATTTTAATAAAAGCAGTGTCAGGGAGAGTCTGAAGGCAACGGATGCCCTAAAGTAACATATAAGGGGAAAAGATGGGGTGGAGGGTAAGGTGATGCCACAGAAAGAGAGTGTTCTCTTGGATGAATGTCCTTATTAGACTCATTAGTAAGGCATGCTAGGACCAGAGTGATTAGATTGAACTCAAATAATTCTAGACACCTCAGATTTACTACCATGATTCATTTATTCAACATCATTTATTGAGCTTCTACTATCTCTCTTTGTATTCAAGATAAAGCAGTGAACAAAATCAACATAACTCTCTGTTCTCAAAGAACGTACAACCTGGACAATAAATATATCAGCTAAAAATATATTATGTCAGAATTAAAAGAGCTTCAGAGATAAAGAAAGCAAGGAAAGAAAGCTAGGAGAATGTTGGCGGGTTTCTAATTTTAAATTGGGCATTGGTGGAAGGTATAGAAAGATGAAGGAGTGAGCCACACAGCTTTGCTGGGGAAGGGCTTGTTGAAATATCTGAAAAGCATGACGCTGAATCCAATTTCACTCCAGCTACATACGTTGGCCCCCATTCATATTATGTATAGTTCAGTTGAATGCTGGGATTTATAACTCTGTTCGTATAAATTCATGTGTCTATATGTAATACATATATGCATGTATATATATATGTGTATATAATTATAAAGAAATATATATTCATATTTATTTTGTAAATTTTGTCACAAAAATTTTTTTCATGACAAAAATTTCAATTTATCTAATAGACAGGAATGAGGCATAATGCATTATACCAGAAAAAAAATCTCCTTTTCTTTCTACAGTATTATTCAAAATAAAAGTTATAAAGCTTATTAGAATGTTTTTTAGTGAGGGGTGTAATTTAGAGACAAAAAGAGAACACCAATTGTTTTATCTCATTAAATCATTTTAAAAATAAACTCTCTAATTTACGAAGACCTACCAAATTTTATAATTGAGAACTATCTTGGTCTTTTAAACTTATCTTTATTTTAATTCTTCAGATGAAATGTATGACAATTCTGCAATATCTTCCTAGTTAAACAAAAAGCATGATATATATTTGTGAAATTCAAAGGACATTGTCAACCCCAATGGAGTTAGATTGGCCCACATTTGCAACGTCGTTTGTCTTCATAAAGACAGTCTGTCTGTTACACCTCATCTTGCACTCTGCAGAAATGCTACATGTAATATTAAGAGATTTTTATAGAAAAAAAACATGCAGCTTAAGAAAAAATCCTTTCAGTAACAAATCAATGTATCCCAATACATCTACTCAGTAGCTGTAGCTTAACTACGGTTTGGGAGGTTTCATGAAAGAGAGAGAAGGAAATGAAGGCAAGAGGAGTGGGAAGGAAAATTAAAAAAAAAAAATGATACTGCCTAGCTACAAGCTGCAGAGGGAAATTAATATTCAAAAGGTTAAGGTGTCTGTGAAATGTATGTAATGAGTAACACTCATAGTTTGTTACTATAGGTTCATTGCCTCTAATGTTGAGGACGGCACATGGATAATTTACGATTCCCATTGTCCCCTCTGCAGGGATTAATTCTGAATTATTTATGTACCTATATACGCACAGAACTGAAACATTTTAGTTAAAGTCAGCCACTCACTCATAGTCTTGAAATTATGCAGCCCTTGTTGCTAAAAATGATGTTAGCCTCTTGTGATTTAAGTCATAACATTTTATTTTCGGTCCCACTGAGAGAGAAGGCATGCAGGAGGGGGGAAAGATATATTTTTCTAGGATAAATCTCAGAATGCATTTTTTAAAGATGTAAACAGATAATGGTAATTTCGTTGAGTCAAATTATTGTTGTAGAGAGTATGTAAATAAACCTTTATTTAATTCGTGATTTGTGATTTTGTATTGGTTCACTCTAAGACTTGTTTTTACGTGGGTATCTTTAAATATAAAGCCTCTGCATTTCAATAAAGGGAACTCCACCTACGTACTGATTAATCAAAGAATAAAATTTTATTTTTGGAAAAGTGTTCTAATCCATTCAGATTTCATACCCAACCATTTCATTTAGTCAACGGAATTCAGAAAAAGTACTGTTTCCACTTAAACTCCGGTGATTACTCACTGCTATTAAAGACTCCTTTGATTATATCAGAATTAATTTTTTAAAATGCAGGTATTACCCCCCTTTCTCAAAAATAACAGATTGTATTCTGGACTGACAATGTGTTTCATAGGGGCTAACCTTATCAGCATAAGAATATCTTACAATTTTTAATGCATTGAATTTTAAACATTTCATTCAATATGCTTTTTTTGCAATTTTGGTATAAATTATAGGTCCCCATATATTTAATCAAATTTCTTTAAGTGAAAAAATCAAAATGTCCCATATGCAATTATTTTAAGAGAAAAATCTGAATGGAAAAAAAAAAGTCTCCAAACAACTGACCCCAGCCCTTTGGAATTTAGACTGTCTAGTCTCTTCTGATCTTAGAATTTATGTCTCCCTAATAATTAAGGTGCATCTCAAGTAGACACGCTGTCACATACGGTATTGAGTATGAAAATAGATACGGAATTAGAAGTATTCAAAGAGCAAAAGAAAATATATATATATATGCACACATATAAGACATCAATTTCTCTTTTAGCCTCCACCTCATACAATTCAACAATTGCTAATAAATTAGGAGGAGGGGCATATTGATGTACTGCTTGACTATAACACAAAGAAGTGTAGTTAGCAAAAAGCTGCAGTGGGTAATGAACAGTATTTTAACTCGGCAGTTTAACCTCCGTGTCTGTCAGCTGTGACCTTTTACCAACCCCAATGAGAGTCTGATTTCTCACTTTTGCTACTCACTGCTGGATGAGTGAATGTAGAATTTGACAGCGAGAGGTTTTACATGAAAAGGAAAGGTACTTAAAAAGCATGTTTTGTGATGATAGGCTACATTTATTCACTGTTCATTACGCTTGGTGCAGCAGCCGCGTTGGTGGATTGATTGGGTGTGAGCAGCTTGTCTGCTATGGAAGTGAAGAGGCGTTATTGACCTGCATGGGAGCTGAAGTGACCTCTAGATGACCCCCCTTTCACCTGAAATTGACCTTGAAAACAACGTAGGGTTCACTCCCATTTAAAAAGGAGGGAAATTCTTCTAACAGCATGTGAATTATTAGAATTGATATATTGAGCATTTCCTTTCCTTCCCCCGCCTTTTTTTTTTTTTTTTTTAACTTTTACAAAGGTAAATGCTTGTAGGGGGTAAGGCAAGTGTTGGCTTTTAAATTTCTGGACTCTGCAGCTGCTCTGTTTGGTGTTTGTACAGATTTATGGAGAGGGCCAACCAGACTTTGGACTGCTTGATGTAAAATTTTACCATTCATCATTATTGATTAGAGTCCACACTCTATGACAGAGCCCAAACCTTACTATGACAATTGCTATTTCAGTTGTTATGAGCCATAATGGGCCATAGGGATGATTTAAAGGAGCACAATAGCTATCTGTAATTACACATGAATAATCCATGAATTCTACACCACAATGCTTATGATCAGACCCTAACAACCAAGGCTTGAGACATTAATTCTTGTTCTCTTTTTGGCACCTGTGCCAAAAGTCACCAATTTATGAAAATATAAGCACAACAAGCTTACCCTCTCGCATGTTCAAAGTTAAGTTTTAATTCTTGGTTAAAAATAGATAACACCCTTGGAAAGTGATAAAATATTGCATTTTCACAGATGGTTTTATCAGTAATTTAACTTGCTTCTTATTAGAAAAGAATGCCAATTATTATTTCATCAATTAGTATCAAGAAAATGTATTAGAAACTAGGTATAATGGTGGACAGAATCAGATTTTACTTTAGTCTTTATTCTCATATTTGGCCAAATAAATAATTTGAGGAAAAAAATCAAGATCATAGATTAGGTCCTATGATACAATGGAAATTTGATAGCTCTCATAGAAGCTTTACACTAACCTAGAAATATGTATGACATGCCTCAACAGTAAATTATTCTCTAATTTTATGTTAAATGAGGAGATGGAGAAACTATTTGCCCACTGAGCTTATGCATATGTGCAGCCCCTGAGGCTCAGAGTGCTGGCACAAACATATAACACAAACTAATAAAAGATCACATTTATTAGTGGCTTCTCAAGATAGTCCCATATCCAGAACATATCTCGGAGAGCAGACCACCCTGTGGATATAATAATTTTAAGGGTATTTTTAGGAATGGCCAATTTTTCCGTTGGTACTTTCAGAAGACTCCAACACTTACAGATCCCAAACTGGGAAATCTATGCTAAGTTTTTGTAAGCTTGCTTTTTCTAGTTCTTAGAATTTTTGTAACCAACTGCTTGATTTACTCTACTTGGAGATTTTAATTTCCTGACAATTTATAAAGCAACTTTTGGCAGTGGTTTTGGTCTATCTAGCACATATTCCAGAAAAGTGTCCCTTCTGCCTGGTTTATGACAATATTTCAGTAGTTCAACCTATTTGGAGCATAATAGTGTTGTTTAACTCAGATGCATTTTTCATACGGTTCAAATATTTACATGCACGGTTACAGGCTTATTAGCAATCTGGTGAAGTATTTGTAAATCTGGATCAAAATTTTGACAGGATATTTATTGCGTTAACTTGACCTATTTTCTATCTAAAGCTCTATTCCATAATTCTTGTTTCATTTGATGTTAATCCTATGCATAAAAGACAGTAACGAGGATATTTGAACACAAAAATATTCTAGCATCCACACAGGAGGATTCTACTAATCTGATTTTGTTCCTACCTCCCCCAGTGTGTGAGGTGCTTACACCTATGACTGTTCAAAACTCCATGAAGCCCCAACTTAACCAATGCAAGTTATCTATTACATTTTATTTTCCTCCTCTCTCATTATGGTGATGAACCCCTGCAAGGATCCTCAGCAGGTTAGGGGACTTGCAAATTGCAATTATTCTAATTTAGGATCATACCATGCTTTTTTTTTAATCCTTGGGAACATTTTTTCTCCATTCAAATGCTTCTAATATTGAACTATGTTTTGAATATTCTGCTAAATGGGCTTCATGGCAAGACTGAATATAAATTTTAAAAAGTAACTGATGTAGAATTAAATAAAGGATGACACAAGCTTTTTACCTGTCATGTAAACAATTTTTTCCAAATATTATTTATTCTTAACCATTCACATTTATCTGTACATCAAACAAACACAAAGCAGGAATGTGTTTTCTTCAACAGCAAATTCTTTACAGAATGTCACAAAAATAAAGACTTGTAATTGGTATGACATTAGAAATCCATGTACTTATCTAGTCAGCCTCCATCTCATCTTTGTTCCTACCTCTCTATAAAGGATAAGGCAGTTTTGCCCAAAGGAAGAAATAAAAGGGAATCCTCGTTAAAAGGTACATTAACGAAAAAAGAACAGCTTTATTGGGGTATGTGCAGAAAGGGATGTTTGAGTAGTAAATGATAATTTACTTTTGAGGTATATTAAAAAAGGTTTAATCTTACTGATCATGAGTTAAATTGGATGTTTTAATCAGTTAGCGAGTGCCAAAAATAATTATGCCAGAGTGCTTAGTCTGCAGAACGTGTACACAAAGCATATAAATGCTTTGCTTCCCCAGGGATTTCTCAGAATAACACACAACTAAAAGACAAAAGCGATATCAAACTCATATAAATTAACATTGCAAATGATCTGAAAAATACAATAAATAACATGATCCCATCACTTTGAATATGTAGCACAAGGAAGGGTGTCCAACACAAATATAGGCATTAATCTCTTGTATCCTTCCTAAACTTTTTTCAGTAAACTTTTCTTCCATTTACTTTCTGTAGTTCAACTCAAGGTCATTCCTTTTATTGAGAGAGCTAGGCTGAGTGACCAAGCATAGAAATGTGTGTTCCTTTTACAAATAAATGTGAAAAATCAGATTATTTTCTTAATGAGCTTTTATTAGGAATGTAAAATAAAGCAGTTGGAACCAAGAAACTTGAGAGGCCTTTGAAGTTCTAAAAATTCTATGATTTTAAAATTAATATTTACCAAAATTCAAAGTAGTTTTGCAAGATGAAAACCAGTATAGTAGATAAGCCAATGTTTAAAACCAACATTTAAAACTAATGTTTTAAAACTATCGGCATTAACACCTCTTGCAAATATCTTTTAAAAATGTATATTCTTTACAAAAAGGTTATTATTTTTAAAGTATATTTTCATAATCAGCTTTTAAAATTTTGTTTGTTGTGTGACTACTTTCTGAAATTTTGATATTATCTGAACAAAAGAAAGAAAAAATTGTAAAGATGAATTAAAAAGCTGTGGATAGTTAAGATTATTTCAGCTCTTACAAAGTGAGCTTAGATCTGAATTATTTCTAAAATACTAATAGCTAAAAAGGCTGAGATAGAACATGTGCTTTATTCCATTTGTATGAAAAATATAAACAATATGTATAATTGTGTTAAATTTGACACACCTCTTAAATTCAAATTTAGATTTCTTTTTGACATATATGAATTAAGCACATTTTGGTAGCTTGAGTCAATTATAATAATATAATTTAAAAATAATATCTCCACCATTTTTGCCTGTTTATACCTTTAAAGTGCAAACAGATATCCTAACATAAATAATAAAATCTTTAGCCATAGGTTACCTTCAATCACTGATATAAAATATTTTTTTCAGTGTTAAAAATGATTAAAGTTCAGGTAGCCACAAAAAATTAAATTTATTTTAAATGCATGTTTCTCTTTAAATGATAGAATTCACCATAGTGTGTCTGTGTGTGTGTGTGTGTGTGTGTGTGTGTATATATATATATATATATATATACACAGACACATATATATTCAAGTTTGATGTAAAAGCTTATCATTTTTCTGGAGGTTGATGATTATTGAGAAAGCTGAAGGAAGAGTGGGCTGAGGTTAAGTGAATCATCAGTTATACATCTCATGCTTCTTCCATCATGTAACTTAATTGGTTTACACTGATTTTGTACTGGAGTATTTAGGGACAACATAGGGGCTTTTCTGAAGATCAGAACAGCTGCTTGATTTGTTAATGAACAAAATTATCAGTAGCCAATTGCTCACAGCTGAAAAACTGCATCCTCCTGGTTAGTCCACTGGAGAGGGAATTTTTCAAATGTGGCTTTTGTGTTTAACACAGTTGCCTATTGGGTGACTTGGGTAAATCTGCTTGTTCCTTTAGTAACCTAGTTTCATTATATGCAAATTAGAATAGTCCAGACAATTTTTTACCCTTTCTGTAATAGATTTAGGATGAAATAAGATTAATTCTCTTTAGATCATAGGAACATGTGGCTCTGTTATCAATGATAACATGTGGCTCTGTTATCATTAACTTATGAGTTGTCAGTACTATTTAGGAGGGTCGAAGAGGCCTTGGAGCAGCTTGTAAAAGTAGGGATCTCTAACATCAAGTGTGTACATAAGTACCCACATACACACAACACTTTTGCAAACAATATGAGGGAGTTCATATACTTCAGGTTAAGAGACCCTGCAATATAATTATATTGAAATAAACTTCCTTTAATACTCATAAGAATGCTAAGTTAGAGAGAAATGAGTCTTCTAACTAATCATATGGGAAATAACCAATTAGGTACCATGTTAAAGATCAATTAAATATTTTTCTCCAACTAATGGGCCAAATCAAATAGACAATATTGCAAAAGAAATATACACATTCATTTGCATTGCTTCTTCTAGTATCAGGATCATTGAAAGTCTATTTTGTAATTATTTGCAAGATGTATTAATTTCATCTGATATGCAGTTTTCTTTTTTCCAGATTTTCAGCATAATTTCAATGGTCAGCTAAATCATGGAGATATATATATGTATATGTTCTAATGTTAATTCTGGAAATGAGATTTAGAAGTGAATTCAATGCTCTTCAATGTGTTATCTATTATCTTATCCTATTCCAGTTTTTCCTTAAACATTACCTGATGCAAAAGACTCTTCGAATGGCTGGAAAGTCAGAGAGTTTGTTTTTAAACTTCACTTGCTATGCAGTTAATATACTTCCATTCAGAGAATAGATACAAAATAATCAATTGCTGAAATATGAAAGGTGATATCCCACTGAAGTTCTGAAAACAGATGATGATACTTCAGACAAAACATTTAAATGTAATAAAATTAAATTTTCAATTTCAAAAAATTTAATGTTATGATTAATGAACACATTATTGTTTTCCCATTTCCAGGAAATATTATCTTTGTTTATACAAAATAAGAATTCTGTTTGATTTCTTTGTATTTAACCTGAAATTTAAAAACATACAGAAAACAATCTCCATGGTGGTCAAGCATTATAATCATTACCTTGCATATAACCCTTAATTTTCTTGCCCCTATCTTTATTCTGATTAAATCCAAATCTCTTCCTCCTCTGTCCCCACACTCATACTATTGAATCTGGCTAGTGAAAAACACTCCATCGTATGGACTGGTCTCATTTTATATTCATGTTCATGGCCTGCAGTGGGCCCTTAATGATGTCATGTGATAGTTAAATATGTCTTTAGTGCATTCACATTTCTATTCTCCTAGACAAGTAGTTCACATCTTCTTACTCCTCAAGTCTCCACACCCTCTTTCTGTCTTGACTTTCAGCTAACGACATTTTTTCCCTTTCACTGAAAAAGCTGAAGCAATCAGAAGAGAACTTCCAAAGAATCTACCCTTCACATTTACCAGAACATGAATGCATATACTCTGCTTTCCTGCCTGATGTCATTTTCAAGGCCATTTCCAAGTTCTTTTCTAAATAAAACTCTGACTTTCACACAAGTTCCCATCATTCCCCTCTACTCAAGGACATAGATCCAGCAATTCTACCCATCCTTCACATCCATCGTTCACTCTTTGGTGGACCTTTCCCATCAGAACACAAATATGCTGTTACTTCTCACATCTTAAGATGACTTTTTTTCATCTTTTGTTCCCTTTTATGCAAAACTCCTCAACAGACTTTATTCTGTGTCCTCTCTTCTCATTCTCTATTATATTCACTCTAGTCTGCATTCTCACCACCACAACCTCTACCACCAAATTCATCTCTTTTATTGCAACTCCCTGATACTCAATGCAATGATCACTTCCCAGTTTTTGTCCTATTTAACTTACCAGAAATCAACACAGTTGATTATTTATTTCCTCTTCTTTGGTGCACTTTCTTCACCAGGTTTCTAGTTCGTGGTCTCTTAGTTTTCCTCTTACCTGACTGGTACCTCCTTTGCCATCTCCCTTACTTCTTCTTCCTCCTTTCTCAAGCTTTTAATTTGGATCTTCCCTAGAACTCATTCTTTGATCTTCTCTTTTCCATATCTATGCCCCCTTCCTTGGGATCTCATATAATCCCATGGCTTTTAAGTAGCATATGCACGCTTACAACTGTCAGTGTATATTTCTAGCTTAAATAACTCTCCTAAACAGATGACCTGACATAGTCATGTAAATATCTACTAGGCAAATTCAATATATAACCTAATATGATCTCTACAAAAGCCAGTCTACCTACAGCCTTTTACTCCCTACCTTTTGACAGTTTTCATCCTTCAGTTATTCAGGACAAAAGCCATCCTTAAGTAATCTGCCAATCCCATCAGTTTCACCTTAAAACATTCAGAATCTAACCACCTCTTACTACCTCTGCTGTTACCATCCTGATCAGAACCATCATCTTCTCCCACCACCACTGCAATACCCTTCTAGCAGATCTACCTGATTTTTTTCTTCACCCCTGCAGTATTATTACTACAGCAACCAGAGTGATCCTATAACATGTACTTGTGATCATGTCATATCACTATCCAAACTCAGCAATGACACTGTATTTCTCTTAGCATAAAGCCAAGATTCTTCGAATGACCTCAGAATCCTGATGTTAACTGGAGCTTATTTCATCTCATTTTCCATTACTTTTCCTTTTCGTCTTTATTCCATTCCAGTCACACTGAACCACTTGGTTTTCTTCATTGGAGTCTGTATTAGTCTGTTTTCACATTGCTATGAAGAAATACCTGAGACTGGGTACTTTACAAAGAAAAAAGGTTTAATTGACTCACAGTTCTGCATAGCTAGGGAGGACTCAGGAAATTTACAATCATGGTGGAAGGCGAAAGGGAAAGCAAGGACCTTCTTTACGGGAGTATAGCAGGGGGAAATGCCATACCTTTAAAGCATCAGATCTCATGAGAACTCACTCACTATCATGAGAACAGCATGAGGGAAACTGCCCCATTATCCATTCACTTCTGACCAGTTCCCTTTCTCAACATGTGGGGATTACAATTCGAGATAGATTTTGGTGGGGACACAGAGCCAAACCATATCAGAGTCATTGCTCTAGTTATTTCCTCTATCTAAAACATTCTCCCTGTCAATATTTATTTAACTAATACATTTTCTCCAAGTCTTTGCTCAAATCACATCTTATCAATGAGGCCTAAAAAACACATATAATGCTACATACTGAACTTCTTCCCCAACACTCTCAATCCTCTTCACCCTTTTCTAATTTGCCTTCATGTTCATAGCATTTATTATCTTCTGCCTCATTATATAATGTATTTATTTATTACATTTATGTTTAATGTTTGTTTTCTATTATCAGTTCAGAAGTTACAGGTCGTTTTTTGGTCGGTTGGCTTGTTGATGTATAACTGCTTCTTAAATCCATGTGTAACACTTACTCAATAAAAATTTGTTAATTTAATGAAATGTGGTTGTAAAAAAGCATGAACCTAAAAATACATATATATATATATTTTTTTAATATCCTTTTGAAAAAGTTCTTATTAAAAGTCTCAAAAACTGTATGTTTTGCTTGGCAAACCTTTATTTTAAACCTAAACATTTCAGTTAACTAACCCAACTGTTTCAATTCTTTAAATATTTATTAAATACTATCACTGTGATTGTAGTGTCTAGTTTCAGGGAATTCATAGGCAGAAAGCAGAGATATCTGCCATGGTAAAATATACTACAACATATGTTGTGGTAGAGTTACACACAGAATCTTCTGGGAGCATGGACCACCTAAACTATGGACTTCTCCACTGACTGGAAATGCTAGTTAGTTGCCTGATTTTAACCTGACTGAAGCTTGGAGATTTATTCTTTGGAGAAATTCAACTGGAGAGCTGATAGATTAGGAACATAACGAATGCCAAAAGGTAAATCTGACTTACTATACAGAAATCTGCAATACTAAAAAAAAGTTCATGTACTTACTAGTGAACTCACCCCATCACCACCACCGCACCCCCCCACCCCCCACACACACACGGAGAGAGAGAGAGAGAAGAGAATAAAGATCCTAAAACATATTCCATCAAGTCTATAGTTCTATAGCTCCCAGAAAGAAGTCCTAAGTATTCTTTTCTGATTGAACTGAATAACCCTTGAGGAAAAACTGGGTGACATTTGAGGGTTTCTCCAACATAAATGACATGTCTTTTCCCAATCATACTGGTATGAAATCAATTACTCAATAAGCTCTCACAATAGACACTGAGCTTCCAGATAGATTTTTGTGCTTTATTCTTAAATAGATATAGGAAGACAAATTCTTCTAGAAATTTGAGGAAAATCTCTTATTGAAAAGGAGAGACAATTTTTACAATGAGAAATAAAAAGTAATATTTGGAGCCTAGGATAATTTCAAGGGGGTGGTGTCTCCCTTGTGTTAACCAAGATAAGGAATAGAGATTAGGGTTTAAAATCAGAGCAGGTTCAGGGGTGTCATTCAATAAGTCAGTGAGTTGATATAAATTATATGTTTCCTTCATGTTCAGTGCAGTTGCAAGTCATGGGTTATAGATGAAGAATTAGCAAGTTAAGTCTGAAGTTTCTATGTGATATTTAAATCACAATACATTTTCCTATGCATAGATCTTGGGTGCAAAGGAGTAGTCTAGGGTGGGAATGTGTATAGCTGGTGGTTGAACTAATAGGCATAGATGAGCATCCTCAAGAGAAAAAGATAGGGGGCGCGGTGGCTCACACCTGTAATCCTAGCATTTTGGGAGGCTGAGGTGGGCGGATCACCTGAGGTCTGGAGTTCAAGACCAGCATGACCAACATGTAGAAACCCAGTCTCTACTAAAAATACAAAATTAGCTGGGCATGGTGGCACATGCCTGTAATCCCAGCTACTCAGGAGGCTGAGGCAGGAGAATTGCTTGAACCCAGGACGCAGAGGTTGCAGTGAGCCGAAATCATGCCATTGTACTCCAGCCTGGGCAACAAGTGTGAAACTCCATCTCCAAAAAACAAAAAGAGAGAGAGAAAAAAAGATAAAACTGTAAATAGAAATTAGAAAATATGAGATACACCATAATTTTCAAAAAATCTATTTTACATCCAAGTATAAAGATAACATATGTTAATCAGAAAAGCACTCAAAAATAAAATTGGGGATTGGGAAACAAATGTACACATTTGTTCCTCCAGTACCGCCAGATAAAGATTTCTGAGACCTTGAAAAGTTTTTCTCTCTATATATTTATTTTAAAGTTAAATTCTACTTTTAAAGACTTTATATAACACAAAGCTTTAATAAATTTTAGAAAGTTTAAATTATTTAATTAGTATATACACTTATTGATGAAATTCACTCTTTTCTATATGTTTTAATTCATGAAATGATATACCTCTTGTATTAGTTTTTTTCACAATACTACAAAGAAATACCTGAGACCGGGTAATTTATAAAGAAAAGAGGTTTGATCGGCTCATGGTTCTTCATGCTGTGCAGAAAGCATGATGCTAGAATCTGCTAGGCTTCTGGGAAAGTGTCAGGAACCTTACCATTATGGTGGAAGTTGATGGAGAAGCAGGCACATCTTATGTGGCAAGAGCAGGAGCAAGATGGCAGGGGGAGGTGCTACACACTTTTAAACAACCAGATCTCACAAGAAATCATTATCACCATGACAGTACCAAGGGAGCTGGTGTTAAACTATAAGAAAATGCCCCTAGGATGCAATCACCTTCCACCAGGCCCCACCTCCAACACTGGGGATTACAATTCGACATGAGATTTGAGTGGGGACACAGATCCAAACCATATCACCTCTATAGATATACTCTAAGTATACATTCAGACCCTTGATATTTAAAGCTTGCCAATGGCAGACTACAAAGATAGAGGGACAAATTTCTAACAAATAAAATATACTATTTAAACTAAAATTTAAAAATTATGAGTTAAAATGTATATCATACCAGGTGGAATTGAGTAGCTTTCAGTAATCCAGTGTTCCCACAGAGAACAGCTAGGGAGAATATGACAAAATACTCAAAACATCTGTTTGAAGGCACTGGAAAACTGATAAGTCACCAAGATTGGAGAGTCGAAGACACTAGAGAAGTGAGAATCTTGAGTGAGCCAGCTGACTTTTATAGTTGATTTTTATCATGGGACACTTGCCAGTTCTAAGGTTGGGCAGGAGTCTCAGAATTGGGCTTTGGACTAAAAGAGTGCTACTCCTAGGAAACAGAAAAATCAAAAGAACTAGTAATCCTTAGGGCTCCTTTCCGGTAAGATTTCAAAGGTGGGTTCAAGTATATTACTGGGTTTTACCTTAGAAGAATGACTAAGTTACGGGACTGTGCAGAGCAGAAGACTAAAAGCTAACATTAAATCTCTAAAAAGTAGGTTGAGATTTTCACCAGGCTTTAAAAGTAAACGTAGAATATGAGATCTTCAAAAAAAATGAGACCCCGAAGGTCTCTCCATCTACTCAGTTGAAAACTCTCTAAGATCCAGGGTGAACCAGAGGTAGGCTAAGCCATATGAGGGCTGCAATGCAGCATCAAAGTAGCACAGTCTTTGATTTGTTTAAGGAGATTAGTTTTTCCCCCTTTTGTCTATCGAAGATAAATTCATCTGCAGGCTCCACAATTTTTATTAAAAATTTCCAGCACTCAATCAAAAATTACTTAGCACATCAAAGACAAAACCACATGCCTGAAAACCAAAAGAAAACAGAATTTAAAAAAAAAGATCCACAGATTTTCCAATTTTCAGTGCTAACAGGCAGGAATTCTGAAATAATTATGATAAATATATTCACAAATATAAGTGAAGTGAAGATATATGAAAATGTTAACAGTGAACTAAAACCTTCAAAGAAAATCAAATGGAAATTCTAAAACTGTAAAATAAAATATCTGGAATCAGGAACATAGTAAATGGAAATAACAATATATTAGACACAGAAGAAGACAGTTCAACAGAATAGAATAGCTCTAGGTCGATAGAGTATATCAAAATTGATAAACAAAGAAAAGGGGGGAATGGAAAGACACATTCACAGAAAAGTATTAAAAATGCGGGACAAATGAAAAAGCCTAACGTGTAAACTGGACTTGCAGAAGGAAAGGAGAGAGAGAGAGAATGGGTGCAAAACAATATTTGAAGAGATATTGACTGCAAATTTTCAAAAACGTATAAAATACACCAACTCATAGATTCAAGAAATATTGCAAATTCCATGCAGAATAATTACAATGAATATGATACCAAAGCACACCATAGCAAAACTGCTAAAAAGCAAAGCAAACTAAAAATGAATCTTCAGAAAATGAATGAATGAATTACAACCACATACAAAACATCTATGAATATAAAAACATATTGTTAAATGAGAGAAGCCAGACACAAAATCATATTACTGCATAATCATATTAATGTAATGTTCAACAATAGGTAACACTAATTATTTTGCTACAAGTCAGGGAGTGGACACTGTCTAGAAAAAGGTGACTATGAGTGGCATCTGGAATCTAATAATGTTCTTTTTTTTTCTTCTTTGAGATGGAGTCTTTCTGTCTCCAGGCTAGAGTGCAGTGGCGCAATCTTAGGTCACTGCAACCTCTGCCTCCTGTGTTCAAGCAATTCTCCTGCATCAGCCTCCCGAGTAGCTGGGACTACAGACTCGTGCCACCACTCCCAGGTAATTTTTGTATTTTTAGTAGAGATGGGTTTTCACCATGTTTCACCATGTTGGCCAGGATGGTGATCCACACGAGGTTGACCTCGTGATCCACCCGCCTCAGCCTCCCAGAGTGCTGGGATTAAAGGCGTGAGCCAGTGCACCCATCCTGTTCTTGTTTTTTATCTTTCTGGTAAAACAGGTGTGTTCATTCTGCACAAATTCATCAATATATACATTTAGAATAATTAGTTTTTCTCTATGTATTTTATACTTCACTCAAAGTTTACATCTTAAAAAATACATCCAGTTGAGAATTAAGTCCTAGGTCAATGGGTTGGATGGAAAATAGTAGTTAACTAAGAATCAGTTAGAAAAGTAAGATTCAACCCATTGGGCCTGTCTACCTAAGTACAAGTCTCAAAAGCATAACAAAGCAATGAAATAATTATAATTATTAAATAGTCTTGGGAAGTTATTAAATCAATACTACGGCCAGTGCAGGAGATTGGTTTAAAAAAAAATTGTTTTAAACCTCGTAAGATTCTGGCTTTGGGGTATTGACAATGCTTTACCTAAAGGTAGTGAAGGATAAGTTAGGCAAGAATTTTAAGATTTAATGTGCTGTCTAAGAAACCAAAAAAGGGAAATATTATAATCATCTTTTGTTTTTAAAGTAATAAGCATATACAGTTTTATCATTCTTTAGCACAATGCTGCCAACTGCATAATTTTCTAGTTGATTTCCTTCTTTTCAGTCTTTCTAGAGTGTTTGACAGTTTTTAAATAATGGTATCAGAATTTGAGTGAAAATAGAAAACAAAATGTGAAATGCACAAGTCAATGGGTGTGTATATGTTTAGGGATAGAATTAAGATTTGCATTTTTTATTAAAGCATATAATTCTATCCTATTTATAGGGGTTATAGATATGTTACATGATAAGAGATGTGACAGAAAAGCTGGTGCAGCAGCAATAATAGTAGGTGACATATTAGCAATATAACCAAGTGCCAACCAAAGTCTTTCACAGTTACTATGCCAAGACTAAAATAGAAATCAGACACATGTTTCTATCAGATGGGGTTCATTGGTAAGATGCAGCTGTTGCCTTCAGCACAGAAATTGAAGATAAATAGATTCATATTTTAAGAGGTTACAGTATCTTCTGATAATCTAAATGCAGGTTACATTTTTGAATAACAGGAAGCAACAAATAATATGAAGTTAGGTGATTTCAAATACCTTGTCGAGTTTTAGTGATTCTCAAAGCACACATCAGACATCTCTACACAATGATTTCTATTCAATTCAATTAACTCTTACTAAGTACGGTAGAAGAGACTGATAGTTGCCTCCAAATATCCATTCTCTCCTTCTTCTTTAACAATAGAATCTCAATTTTTAATAAGCTGACACGCTCCCAGCTAAAAGACTACATTTCTCAGCTTCTGAAGCAGATGTAGATATGTGACCAAGATTGGGTCAAAAGGTTATAATGGCCTGGGCGCGGTGGCTCACGCCTATAATCTCAGCACTTTGGGAGGCAGAGGTAGGCAGATCACTTGAACCCAGGAGTTCGAGACTAGCTTGAACAACATGGCTAAACCCTGTCTCTACCAAAAATACAAATATTAGCTGGGTGTGGTGGCGCTGCCTGTAATCCCAGCTACTTGGGAGGCTGAGGCAGGAGGATCACTTGAACTCGGGAGGCGGAGGTTGCAATGAGCCAAGATCACATCACTGGACACCAGCCTTGGCAACAGAGCGAGATCCTGTCTCAAAAAAAAATAGTTATAATGAAGTATTATTTACTTGAAGAAGAGTAAATCCCTCCTCCTCCTGCTGCCTGGAATGCACATGTGACATCTGGAGTTCCACTAGTCATCTAGGATTACAGGGGCACATCCTAGAAGTGACAGAGGGATGAGCTAAAAGGAAGCTGTTACCTGAAGCAACTAGTGGAGCTGTCAAAACAGCCCTGTTCTGCCTACCTCAGGGCATTTTAAACATGAGAGAAAAATCAACTTACTAGCTCACTATCATTTAGGATGGAGAGATGCAATATGCAGCCACACCTAAGCCTGATACAAGTAGATGTTAAATATAGAAAGTGGTGTGTACTTGCTGTTGTATGAAATACAAAAGAGAAATAAAATTCACCTTTGCAAAGTGGAAATAAACTTAGAATTTAATGTGATGAGTGGAGGCATAGTCATCTTCGTTCACACTTTTCTTAGTAAGTGAAAAATGATGCTTTGGTCATAGGTATAATCCAATCACACCCCTCTGATCTAATTTAAAGAAGGCAATTTAGATTTAGTGTCTGTGATAATTAAGATCTCAAATGAAGACTAAGACTAAAATAAGTCAAGATCTCATTGGTTAAAATATCTGGACCACCATATGAATACAGTAGATACGTGAAGAATAAACTCAGATCATCATGTTTATTCATTGAATTTATTCAGGACACTGTGCTATGTGGGAATACATGATCCATTAGATTGTACAGTAATCAAATGATCACATAAAGATAAGCCTAGGTCAGTTGTAGACAGCACAAAATACCACACTAACCATTCTTCAATTCACACAGTTATGTAAATCTGTTATAAGATTCCTTTAAAAATAAGATGTGCTAAGGACCATGATTCCTTCATTGAAATCACCACCAATATTGCAACAATATTGGTTCTTTAATTTGTGTTCCATTGACTAGCAACAAAAAACCAGAAATTCCATATTTACAACTCCATTATATCAGAAAATATGCCTGGAGTTTTAAGATTCATGCATAATTGTCTTCTCCTCCTGTAAGAACAATCCTTCTCTGAGTTTTTCAACAAAAAGTAAATTAACAGTAGAACACATCCTTTGTTCATGCAGGTTTAGAATTAATAAGTTCAGTTTGAGTGGAAATTTTGTAACCAAAGCATTTAAAAGCTTATTATAGTGAAAGAAATGCAGAAATACCTGTTCCAGCCAAATATTATGTACAGTATACGGAAAAAAAATTACCATTCTGCCATGGAAAAAATTTATATTTAGGTCACATTCTATAGGAGTTCCCTCCTCTAGACACGTTTAAACATACCCAAATCATATATCAAAGTAGGTATAGGAATTACACTTCAAATATCTACTATGGGCACCCCCATTTTGCCTTGAAAATTATGCTATGTTTCCTCATGCTCTAGCTCTGATGAACGTTTTTGTGATATCCTCGTTTTCATGCCCACTATTGGCTCAATGCCTCTGGTCTAATATTTAAGGATGCAGATTTTTTGCAACTCTCCCTATTCAAGAATTGGAGTCTATTTCCCCACACAATGCATCAAGACTAGTTTTGTGACTAGTAACAAATGTAATAAACTTGAAGTTCTGCAAGTTCTGGACACTAGACCTCAAAACATCTAGCAACTTCTGCCTTCACCCCCACTGACAATGTTGCCCTGAGACTGCCATGTGAAGAGGAGTCCATTAGACTCCTGGAGGATGAGCAGCCATATGGAAAATGGAGGCTGCCCAGCCAACAGTCCGCGCCATATGCCAGATATCTGACTTAGACTATTTTGGCTGTTGTAGCCTAGCAGATTCTCCAGTGCAGAGGTCCCCAACCTCTGGGCACCAGACCCATACTGGTCCATGGCCTGTTAGGAACCACGCTCCACAGCAGGAGGTGACCAGTGGGCGAGAGCATTACAGCCTAAGCTCTGCCTCCTGTCAGATCAGCAGTGGCATTAGATTCTCATAGAAGCAGGAACCCTACTGTGAACTGCGCATGTGAGGGATCTAGGTTGTGTGCTCCTTATGAGAATCTAACTAATGCCTGATGATCTGAAATGAAACAGTTTCATCTCAAAACCATCTCCCACCCCCACCCCATGGCCTTGGAAAAATTGTCTTCTATGAAACTGGTTCCTAGTGCCAAAAAATTTGGGGACTGCTGCTCTAGTGGAATACAATTGCTTGAGAAACCAGCAGACAAAATCAGCAAATGAACTGTCCAAAATCGTAATAGATGATAATCATAACAGTAAATTTAGTGTTTTAAGCCCCTAAATTTTGAATTGGCTTCTTAGGCAGCAATAGATAATAGATAAGGTGCTTAATCATTCTCTTTCCCAACAGACCCTTGGATTAATGACCTGGGTTTGGACCATCTAGAATAAAATCTTTAGATGGCAGTCAGATCCACCTGGAAAGATATCTCTTTAATTCTTAAACAAAAACTATGTTAATTCTGTAATTGAAAATGGCCATAGAAAGATGAATAGACAGGGACAAAATTTATACCTTAAAGTGAACTACAGAGAATTTATTCAATAGATACTTTGAGAATAAATATAATGTACAATGTAAACTATATGGGCAAACATACCAGAAAGTATACAATGTTGACATATAAAGTCTTGCGGTTCAGCAGCTACCCAGCTTTCTTCATTTGGGAATTGGTGAGATCTTTAACCAGAAGACCTCAAATAGTTTCTCCTTACTCATACTGCTTTGAATTCCACTCTTTTATCACAAAGGTTTGGTTTTAACCTATAAACACATTTTAATCTAATTTTCAGACTGACTTGCTGATTGCAGAGTAAGTTTGGCCTACCTGCAATTGCTAAATACCTAGTCTCAGTTTCATGGATATCATCAATCAAGATACCGTAGTATAAACTATTTCTGATACTGAATACCAGAAGACTAGTGAGTACATCCATGTAACTACAATAAGTGCTTTTATAACATGTAAGGATTTCTGCAAAATGTTTCCTTAAAAATGGCATTTGTGAAGTGACTGATGCAATTATGACCCTAGAGGTATTACAGTGTTTCTGCCTTTCTATAGAAAAAAAAAAAAATTTAATAGACTGAGTGTGACATTGAAGATTTCTTTACTCATAGGTCCTTTCTTTCTTAATTGTCCCTTTTTGTTTAAAATTAAGTGCTCCAAATTTAGATTCAAAGCATTTCACTAACTGCTCTACTTAAATCTTGCTACATAGTCATTTATGTTCACTTACAGATCATTTACAAAGTCTCCCAGCTGCTTCCCCTAACTAATTGTCCATGATTCCATATTAAAAACTATCTTACCACTGTTGGACTTTTGTGAAATTCCAGTGTCTAGCTAAGTAAAAATGAAAACACTTTTAATAGCTCTCCTCTCCCACTTAGTAAATCCTTAAATATTTTCTCCTTTCATGGAATTCCAGGAATATGCTCCTCTATATGTTACTGGAAAATCGTGTAGAAAAATTTACATTTTATATAATTCTTCAGCCAAAATCAAGCTCAAGTAACATAAAAAGTCCAGAAATATAATGAAATTTTCATCAACGTAAACCACATTTTACATGTCCAATAATAGAAAGACAAGACTTCTCTTGCAAACCTTCACCCTGCACATCTGGGCCAATTTATCAATCAATTCTGCCCCACTTGCTAAGTTAATTCAGTTAATTCCTATTTCTCATCAAAAGGAAGATATGGTACTTACTCCAGAGTAATGCCATAGTAATTTTACATAATGTCTGACTTTGATTTTTATGTTGTAATTTGTAACCCAGATTTAATCATTAGTCTCTGGACATTTATCTGAGAGGGCCTAAGAATCCACCTTATTCTCAAGTTCTAGAAATTGGTCCCTTCTTGGACTCCTATGTCCTCTGAGAACTAGGTTCTGCCTTGCTCCTGTCAGACCTTTCGGGGACTAGTGTAGAGGGATCAGTCTAAATTCATCCAGAGGGCAGGCAGAAACAGTAAATGAGACAGGCAAGATGTAAGACACTAGAGAGTTTTGGACTTGCATGTCCCAAATAAAAAGTACAACTGCTTTAGCTGTGACAGATTGTTGCCATATAAGAAAACTAAATCTGTTATTTTTTGGTCTTCCAATTATTCCGAGAGAAACCAGAAATCCATATTTATTCTGAGAAATTTTCCAATTTTTTAAATGTTGGGAACTAATGCAATAATAAGAACTTTGGTCCAAAATCACACAAACACACACACACACACACACAGTCCTGCAGTCAGAACCTTGGCCTAGGGGCTCCATTATGAAAATTCTTATAAGAATAAAAATATGAAAAATGGGGAACTCTTTCTTGGCAGAAATGTAGAGATATTTTTGAGTTAGAAAAGAAATAGACTCCCTTATTGTTTTGGAGGCTGTCCTCTGCATTGTAGGATATTTGGCCCGATCTATGTCTTCTACCCACCAGATACCAGCAGCACCTCCCCATCTAGTTGTTATGAAAAAATGATTCATAACATTCTGGGGCACCAGCATGGCCACTGCTGAGCATGCCCACTATTTGAACTATGTTCAAATTCTAGTAGTCCCATGGCTACTTATTTGCCATGTGACTTTAGGTAATTTATTTAAAATTTCTGTGCCTCAGTTTCTTTGTTTCTAAAGGAGAGTGATTATAAAAAATAGCAGGACTTACCTCCTAAGTACTTCATGAGTTAAATGAGCTAATTTCTATGAATCTCTTAGATCAGTGACTGGTACGTAATAAATGCTATATATATGTTTATTGAATAAATAAATTTCTTATAAAGGCTCTGTCTTTGCATCATCTTTATAGTGAAAAGCTAGAAAGAACACAATTGTCCTTCATTAAGAATCCTAGAAATTCCCATAGGGACCAGGTAAAATATACAAATATATCAGGCCAGGTCACTAGATGAAAATTTACAATGTAAGAGGAGTATCATGCCACAAGAAATTCTGCAAGAAAGCTTAGAATTATTCCACTTTTTTCCACTTTGCTATATGGTAGCTGGGATTGTTCAAAGAGAGATTCGAGCTCTCAGCCAATAATCCCCTTGCCAACTCAAGAAATGTGTATTTATCATGAGAGTGAATGGAATTATGCTGTTAAGACTATCTTTAAAGGAAACCAGAATTTTACCTAAAATAAGAGAAATACATTGTAAAGAAGGTTTTAACTTACTACTTTAGAAGCAGTCAGTCTTTTGATATATGAAGTAGTTGTGTCAATGGGTTAAAAGGAGTAGAAATTATCTCCTTCCCATTGTTTCTCTAGATTTTCAATATAGTCACAAGTGAAAAATAAGATATGTCAGAGATGTGAATTCATAAAAAACAGGGAGGCCACCCATCACCTGCAACATCATCATGAGAAGTTACAACACTAAAATGACTAATTCTTATGGTCAATCTGCATTTCCCAGGATCATCCTTGATAAAATCAAGATGTTAAGTTTTCTAGGAAGTTTGGGAATGGAGATAATACCTGACACTTATTGAATGTTACTGATAAACATTCATTGAAAATCCATTTTACTATCCACAGTTGTTAAGATTTGTCTAAGATTCACTGGCTCTCAACTGGGAGTGATTTTGCTCCCATGGGAACATATTGCTTGTCACAACTGGATAGGGTGGTGCTACTGGCATCTGGTGAGTAGAAGTCAAGGATGAGGCCAAACATCCTACAATGCAGACGACAGCCCCCAAAACAAAAGAGTTATTTGATCCAAAGTATCAATAGTTTTGTGGATGACACGCCCTGCAGTAGAGGGGGATGAAGCATAACCTCTAACTTGGCCTAAATGAGGAAACCAAAAGTTGCATTTAACAGAGTTCCACTACATAATACTGACAATTTGTATTATGCAGCATAATCTGAAGCAAAGAACATAATTTTAGTTTTAGGCAAATCTGGTATAAATCCTACCTCCTCCACCTATTACCTACGTGAGCTTGGGCCCATCTGTACCTTAGTTTTCTCATCTATAAAGCAGAGATATTGGTGGCATCTACTTTTCAGAGTAATTGTGGGAAATAGTAAGTCATTGTATGCAAAGTGCCTAGAATAGTGTCTGGCCCATGGGAAACACTATATATAATTTAAATGTTAAGTAAATGATGAATGACTAAAACAGACATAAAATGCCTATCTTTCTATGTCAATTCCTCCTCTTTTAACCTTAGTGGTGAAACAGGAAATATGACATTGATTGTAGTCCTAGTGAGGAGCATAATTATTTTATAACATTGGATTTGTTCTTCTTCAGTGCATTTCATTGTACTACAGTATGGCTAATCTACAACTGTGTCTGTTTATGAAGTGTGTACTCTTTACAGAATGCTAAGTAATGCAAAGATGGATAACCTGATTCCTATGTCTAATTCCTATGTCTTCCCCCAATTCAGAAATTCCTAATTGTTGAAAATTAAACTCTGTCTCACGTGGAACATGTCCTGCTTTTTTTCCTTTCATTCATGGCTCAAATTCAAATAAAGGTCACATTTGACATCATCATAGCTCTATATAATTGTATGCTGTGTTTGCAAAGAATAAATTTTTAGTGAAAAGATCTCAAAATCTATAATGTACCAAAAAGATATATACATTTGCCAATTGGTTTGCTAAATTGGCTGCTTGCATTTTTCTGAAATCTCTATTTTTCTCTGTCTTTCACCTTTACCAGCAGTCTTCTCAACAAAGCCTTATCAGATACTTCAGAACACTTTCCCTTCTCTGAAGGCTGAAATAAGAATTAAAAATTGTAGTGAAACACTCAGACATTGTGATGTTTATGGTGGAGTCATGTTCTCTATAATCGGGGCTTTAAGATTCATTGGGAATAAAAAATCTGTTTACTCTGCTGGAGGAATTAGGCTCTGTAGAAATTGTTTTAGTTCTCTTTGTTTATAATGATTTGTTAGCTCTTGACTGCAGAAATAATTTTGTTGTTTACATTAATCTATGGTGGCAGTATTAACTTCACATCATACATAAATATAATTATTGATCATTACCAGCTGTAATTCAGTGTTAGAATTACAGATTTACATAATTGTGCTATTAAGTATAAACTTGAACTTCATATCTGGGGTCACAAATAACTGGAGGCAGTAGAAATGGAAAATTCTGATTATATGTCATTCATATTTTAATATACACTGTTGCAATTTTGATCAGTGTTAATGTAAATATTTTTATGTACTTTACAGCAATGAGATGCTAATGGGTGGAAATTACAGCAATATTGATCTAGCTAATAAAATGTAATACATTAGTAAGAAAGGATATTTATTATATGCTTCAACTATTACTATACATCATCTGCCTAAGGAACATGAGCTGCGTCACCAGCAAAAAAAAATGTTTGAACCAGACCCTATGAGCTTCTCCCCATTCACAATCATGGTTTTTCTGCTGAATCTTTTATGCTGATGTGGATTCAACAAGAGCAATGCCATTTCTAAAACATGCAACTATTCTCTCTTTATGTAATTATTGCATGGAAAACATTCTATAATAATCAACAAACAAAGAGTGTCTAAAAATATTCTTTAAGATGCTACACATGTCTGCATTGTTTAAGTCTCAATAAATGTGCCATGTGTAAACTATATAGTAAGTCCTAATTTTTAATCTTAGAACTCAATGAGCTAAAATGCCTTAAAAAAAAAAATCCAATACTTTGCGAACAGAATTTCAAATGTAGCAATTTGGGCTTTGATGTCAAAAACTCAGTAGACTTCTAACTTATTAACACTAAATTGAGATTTACTTTTTGAAGCTATTTTTTAAATTTATAAAATCAAAACTGAAAAGAAATTTAAATATTAGATAAATTACTAATAAATTACTTGTTTTCTATTACTAATTCATGTATTTTATTGAATTTTATGAGATTGCCATTGTCTTGCATCAGAATTGATCAATTTCATTTGATCCAACCCAACTATGTATTTATCTATTGACCTATCTATCCATCTATATCAATCTACCTTCCTAAGTATTTTTTCTTAAAGGTAATACATACTCATGAAAAAAATTCCAAAATACACCAAAAGGTAAAAATAAAGCACAAAATTAGTCCTCCTATTTCTCCCTTATCCTCAACTCTTCTGCCCCAGTTTGATTTTTAGTTTTGATTGTATGAATGGTTCAATATTGTGTACCTTGCTTTTTTGCTTATTAAACATAAAACATTTTTCATCTTAAGCATATACTCATGTGTAGTTCAGTAGTGTTAGGCACAATTTACAGTGTTATATAATCAATTTCTAGAACTCGTTTCATTTTGTAAAATTGAAGATCTATACTCCTTAAACAACAACAAATCATTCCTTCTTAGCCTCTAGCTCCTGACAACCACCATTCCCCTTTCTGTCTTTATAAATTTGACTACTTTAGGTACCTCATATAAGCGCAATCATACAGTATTTGTCTTTTTAGAACTAACTTACTTCACTGAATGTCTTTGAGGTTTATCCATGTTGTAGGATGATGCATCTTTTCCTTCCTTTTTAGGGCTAACTAATATTCCATTGTATGCATACACCGTATTTTCTTTATCCATTCATCAGTTGAGGAGCACTTGGCTTGCTTCCACTTCTTGGCTGTTGTGAATAATGCTGCCAAAAGCTTGGGGGGACAAATGACTCTTCTAAACTCTGCTTTCAAATCTTTTGGGTGCATACTCAGAAGTGGAATTTTTAGATCACATGAGGATACTGCTTTTAATACCTAATTTGTTGAGTGGTTTTATCATAAAAAAGTGCTGAATTTTGTCATGTGTTTTTTCCACTTTAATCGAGATGATCATGTGGTTTTTGCCTTCATTCTGTTATAGTAATGTGGTATATATTAGGTTGTTTTATTTATTTATTTTTATTATACTTTAAGTTCCGGGATACATGTGCAGAACGTGCAGGTTTTATCTGCACGTTTAATATATTTAATCTAGAATTTATCCATTTCTTCTAGATTTTCTAGTTTATTTGCATAGAGGTGTTTATGGTATTCTCTGATGGTAGTTTGTATTTCTATGGGGTCAGTGGTGATATCCCCTTTATCATTTTTTATTGTGTCTATTTGATTCTTCTCTTTTTTCTTCTTTATTAGTCTGGCTAGAAGTCTATCTATTTTGTGAATCTTTTCAAATAACCAGCTGCTGGATTCCTTGATGTTTTCAAGGGATTTTTGTGTCTCTATGTCCTTCAGTTCTGCTCTGATCTTAGTTATTTCTTGCCTTCTGCTAGCTTTTGAATTTGTTTGCTCTTGCTTCTCTACGTTCTTTTAATTGTGACGTTAGAGTGTCAATTTTAGATCTTTCCCGCTTTCTCATGTAGCCATTTAGTGCTATATATTTTCCTCTAAACACTGCTTTAGCTATGTCCCAGAGATTCTGGTAGGTTGTGTGTCTGTTCACATTGGTTTTAAATAACTTATTTATTTCTGCTTTAATTTCATTATTTACCCAGTAGTCATTCAGGAGCAGCTTGTTCAGTTTCCATGTAGTTGTGCGGTTTTGAGTGAGTTTCTTAATCCTGAGTTCTAATTTGATTGCACTGTGGTCTGAGAGACTGTTATGATTTCTGTCCTTTTGCATTTGCTGAGGAGTGTTTTACTTCCAATTATGTGGTCGATTTTAGAATAAGTGCTACGTGATGCTGAGAAGAATGTATATTCTATTGATTTGGGGTGGAGAGTTCTGCAGATGTCTATTAGGTCCACTTGGTCCAGAGCTGAGTTGAAGCCCTGAATGTCCTTAATTTTCTGTCTCGTTGATCTGTCTCATATTGACAGTGGGGTGTTAAAATCTCCCACTATTATTGTGTGAGAGTCTCAGTCTCTTTGTAGGTCTCTAAGAACTTGCTTTATGACTCTGGGTGCTCCTGTACTGGGTGCATATATATTTAGAATAATTAGCTCTTCTTGTTGCATTGATACCTTTACCATTATGTAATGCCCTTCTTTGTCTCTTTTGATCTTTGTTGATTTAAAGTCTGTTTTATCAGAGACTAGGATTGCAACCCCTGCTCTTTTTTTGCTTTCCAGTTGCTTGGTAAATATTCCTCCATCCCTTTATTTTGAGCCTATGTGTGTCTTTGCACGTGAGATGGGTCTCCTGAATACAGCACACCATTGGGTCTTGACTCTTTATCCAATTTGCCAGTCTGAGTCTTTTAATTGGGGCATTTATCTCATTTTGTATGCATATGGCTAGCTAGGTACCCTGAAAAATTGAATGAATATTACATTTTCCCCAAGTAATTTGAATGCCATTCTTATCATATATTTATTCTCCATATTTCTTTCATCTATATTTTTCCAAGGGCCAGAGCTTTATTTATTAAATTTTATTACTTTTTGGTTACTCCTCTTTAATATTCTCACTTATTGAAATTGTCTTATATATTTCTTTATGGTTATTTATATATGTTCTATATAATAGAACATATATTCATATATTATCTAGCAGTTTTCTAATTGCTAAAAAATTTTCATTGATGTTTTCATTCATAAACATTGAATTTGTATACTAATTTAGAGATTATTGCCATTTTTATAGTATTTTAGTCTTGCTATTCTCAAATAAGGTAACATTTCCATCTATTTAAGTTTGCTTATTTTTAAATGTTTATTTCATACACATTCTCTACTAATTTTACTCCTAAGTGTTCTGTATGAGCCTGTTTAGGCTTTCATTAAAAATATCATAAACTGAGTGGCTTAAAGAAAATGTATTTTGTCATATATTTGTCATATTTTTTCATATTTTTGGAGGCTAGAAACTTCAACAGCACGGATTCAGCAAGGTTTGGTTTCTAGTGAGGACTCTCTTCCCAACTTTCAGACAGCTGCTTTCTTGCTGTATCCTCACATGGTAGACAGAGAGAAAGCAAGTTCTCTGTTGTCTCTTCTTATAAGGACACTAATTCTATAGGACTAGGCCCCAATCCTTATGATCCATTTTAATTTCTTTCTTACTCCAAGTAAAGTCACACTGGAGTTAGAGCTTCAACATATGACTTTTGAGGGAAGACAACACAGTCCATAGCATATTCATCTTTCATGTTACTATTATAAATGGGATGGTTTTCCATTTTGTTTATATAAGAAAGCCATAAACTTTTTGTATCGGTTTTGTAATGAGAAACTCTGCTCTGTTGTCTTAATGTTTGTAATAGTTTTGGGGTAAAATATATTGGCTATTCAGGTATAAAGTCCTAAAATCAGACAATAATATTTCTTTCTTATTCAGCATTTTTACCTTATATATTTTTCTTGTCTAATTTCATTGCTTAGTACTCCAAGACCATTATTAAAACATAGCGATGGAAATTGATACATTATTCATTATTCATAATGAACATATTAATTCATTATTTTTTACATGAGAAGAAAATTAGGGCTGGGGGTGGTGGCTCACGCCTGTAATCCCAGCACTTTGGGAGGTCAAGGCAGGTGGATCACTTGAGGTTAGCAGTTTGAGACCAGCCTGGCCAACATGGCGAAACTCCATCTCTACTAAAAATAAAAACATTAGTCGGGTATGATGATGCATGCTGGTAATCCCAGCTACTCAGGAGGCTAAGGCAGGAGAATTGCTTGAACCCAGGAGGTGGAGGTTGCAGTGAGCCAAGATTGCCCCATGGAACTCCAGCCCTGATGACAGAGCAAGATTTTATCTCAAAAAGAAAGGAGAGAAAGAAAGAAAGAAAGAAAGGAGGGAGGGAGGGAGGGAGGGAGGGAGGGAAGGAAGGAAGGAAGGAAGGAAGGAAGGAAGGAAGGAAGGAAGGAAGGAAGGGAAGGAAATTAGATCCAGACAAATTATTCCATGGTAAAGAAAATATATAAGGCTATTTTCAATAAAGAAAAAATACTGTGTTATTGGACACAACTTATTAAATACCTTGTTGTTACTATTATATTATACTTGGAAGAAAAATAATGAGTAGAAAGCAAATACACATAGATTTTGATGATATTTGTAGATGCAGGGTTTTGGACTTTTCGTTTTAAAACCAGATTTTTAGAAGCAAATATACTTTTCATATTAAGAGAATCAGAAATACTAAAACAGTTCTTCCTCACTCATGAGAACAGTAAATATGGAAAATGCTTAGGTTAGACCTCTACTCAAAATCCATTTTATAGAAAGTGTTTTTTTTCCCCCTGTGTAATAATTATCTCTCAATTCTTTCAACAAATAAAAGTTAAGGGGATAAAAATCTCACTGGGGTACTAATTCCCCATCACAGAACAATTCTCCAGGTGGCCTTGTACCAACCCAGTTCTCTCCCCTTTCTCGCTTGTAGTTCTCAAGAATAGCTTTAGATTGTGGTGAGAATGCAACATCCTGAGATGAGGGGAGCTAGTCAGAACAACTCAGGCTCTCTTCCAGTCCCCACCCTGGAATCAGGATGTCCCTCAAGGCTTTAACCCAGCATGTCTTCTGACCCCCAAGGTATAAAACCAGAGTGGACAACTTTCCAGCACCCCTCAGCTTCAGTACCTGTAGAGTATGCACAAATGAAACTCCATCTGCCCTGAGCAGCTTTCCTGAGCCTTGTAAGACTGGTTCGTAATGTATCGTATGATTCTATTGTTCCTTGATGCCTATCTGTAAATAATAAACCTTCTTTAGGTAACTTCTGTATGTGGGTGTTCTGTCTCACTGGATTCAGACAAGTTAATAACCAGTGCACACTAAAACTGCTTAACACTCATTAATCCCTCTATTCAGCATCAGTACTATTCTTTTCAGGCAATATTTTGTAAATCTATCTATAATTCATTCAACAAATAAATGACACTTGAGTCTTGCTATGTACTAGGCACTTGGACTAGGTACTAGATATATCAATAAAAATAAAAAGTGGTCCACAAACAACAAGAGTAGTTGTTTGAGCAGTGGGAGTAGCCATAATGACAGGGAAAAAAAAACAAAAAGTATATTACATTTCTCATAGCCTGAGCCTGTTAGTGGACACTGTGAGTATTTGAAATTGTTAAATCCAAATAAAGAGAGGTCTTCATGTACTGTAGAAATGTGGAAAACAACTCAACCTTTCTATAACTCAAAAACAAAGACACTTGTGAAATAGTCTGTAACATGATTCCTTTTCATGTTTAATCTTTATCCATTGTTGAATCTTATTATTCATTTCATCTTACCCTGTGAATTTCAATGATCTTTGGTTGGCTTGGCTTGGCTTGGCTTTTGGTAATGCTCATTTGATCACTTAATACATATAATTGGAGGAAGAAAAAGAAGTAGTTGAATAATCAAATAAAGGGTTATAGGAGAAAAGTTTTTATTGTTGCTGCTGCAGTTTAGTTTTCTTTGTTTTCTTGTATATATTATTTAGTGCTTCCTTTGTAAAGTCAGATAAAGATGGAAAATGTATTAACCTCATCTATTCCTTCTTTGTCATTCTCCTTTATCCCCCAGGCAACTAGTTGCCAGCACCACCTGTCTCACCTATCTTCTCTGCCAATGTACTGGACAGCCATAATTAAGGTGGTACTAGTTTTCCAGATTGTGTGGGTTTGTAGTTTTTCTACTAATTCTCAAAGCCAATTACCCATATACCCTAAGTTCTAGCTTTGTCAAATACTTGCAGGCCTCCTGACTGTTTTCTATGCCTATTTATCTGCTAGACTTTCTCTGCTTAGTATGTTTTCTCTACACTTAACCTTTTCTCACTTGAATCACCTCACATCCTCCAATCCCTTTGGCTACCCTAAAGTTTTTCTCTTTTGCTGTGAAATAAAAGTTACTCATTATATAATATTAAATTCAAGTGCCACTTCATCATTAAGCCTTTGCTGATGACAATGTCTCTCAGATAACAAATATTGACCACCCTTTCCTTCATGTCTTACCTGTTAGTATTCCACCCCTCTTGTATCACAGTGCCTATATTTTTCATTTACTCACTAGAGTGTATACTACACTAAGGCAGAAATTTTTCTGTTTTGTTTATTGTCGTATTTTCTAAAACCACGCCTGATATTTAGCAAGTGCCTAATAAATATTTGTTGGATATTGCTCTGATTTGTTTACATGTTTATATCTTATTCAACTACAAGTGACCTGAGTCCAGAAGCCTAATCAGAATATAAATAAGTGATTAATTAATGCTTATTGAAGTTGTTTTCTTAAAATAACCTAAAATTATTTCATAATATTTTTGCATTGAGACTATAAGACAAAGAGATTCTGTTACCAAAAAGGAGTCCAGATCCAGACCCCAAGAGAGGGCTTTTGGATCTCATGTAAGAAAGAATTCAGGGTGAGTCCATAGAGTAAAGTGAAAGCAAGTGTATTAAGAAAGTAGAGGAATAAAAGAATGGCTATTCCATAGACAGAGCAGACTCAAGGGCTGCTGGTTGCCCATTTTTATGGTTATTTCTTGATGATATGCTGAACAAGGGATAGATTATTCATGTCTCCCCTTTTTAGACCATATAGGGTAAATTCCTGATGTTGCCATGGCATTTGTAAACTGTCATGGCACTGGTAGGAGGGCAGCAGTGAGGACGACCAGAGGTCACTCTTGTGGCCATCTTGGTTTTAGTGGATTTTAGCTGGGTTCTTTACTGCAAACTGTTTTGACAGCAAGGTCTTTATTACTTGTATCTTGTGTTGACTTCCTATCTCATCCTGTAACTTAGAATCACTAACCGTCTGGGAATGCAGCCCAGCAGGTTTCAGCCTTATTTTACCCAGCTCCTATTCAAGATGGAGTTGCTATGGTTCAAATGCTTCTGACATTTCCAATAAATTTTTAAACTTCATTAGCCTTTAAAATTATTATTTTCCCCTTTTCTGCCAGGAAACACTAGAAATGCTCTAGAAATAGACAGCCTATGCTTCCTTCTGATAAGTTACCAGGAGCCCTTTCAGGAGGCTACTCAATGCTCCATCAAGGTACCATGCTCAACAACTCAGACTCGAGGATACAATGAGAGTTTATTATGGAGACAGACTATAATGAAACTAAAGAACTTTCTCTTTTTTATTTCTTCTTCAATCTACTAGCTCTCTGAAAAAAAAATATACATATATATGTTGTTTTCATCTCATATATACATATATATATATATAGGATGAAATCTCTACCTACCATATGGGGTTATTACCCAGCTATGTTGAGCCAAGAGAATATGACATCAAAATAAATTGTTCTTGATTAAATGCAACATCAGACATACACAAGTCAAGCAAAAGCTTTTTTACTCTTAACCTGATTTACTTGCTATGTGAATTGCTGTGTCCTTTGCATTTAAAGTTTCCTCATTTGTAAAAGGAGATAATGATGCAGACCTCTTCACAAGATCACTGTGTCACTTAACTAATTAATACTGTAATTATAAAGTACTTAGGAAATATAGTGCACTGTACAAATGCCAAGTGTTGTTATTAGAAACATTTGAGTGCTCAGCTCATCTAGATTTACTACTTTAGCAAGGCAAATAATTCTAAACAGTAAGAAAGCCCCAACTATACATACTAATTAATTTAATTTAAACATTTATTATGTACTGTAAATATGCCTTGTTAAAATATGCATTTTAGTAAAGGCCACCATTAAAATCATGCTTCAGAAATTAAGTTGAGTTGCTTGAAGTCTACATAAAATGAATTCTACTTCAGCCTTTTTACAGTGACAGTTTAGATCACATTTATTTTACAATTAATTTCTCTGTTGGTTGTTTGATTAAGTGTTGATTGCCAGGTACTCAGCTATATGAATTTTTAAGTGAGACTAAAAGGAGGGAAATTAACACACTCCCTTTGTCTCTGTATTGAAACATTTGTAAAGAAACAATACATTTAGCTGCTATGCTATTATTTTAGTCTAATATCCATTAGGGGATCTTTTCTGGAAAGGAAATGCCCTAGAGTGGAAGATGGAAGTTCGATGTGTGCTTTAGGGAAAACTTGATTTTGGCAGTGAAAGCTACATTCTCTCTATAGGTTAAATCTGCAGGTCCCCTAGTTGATAGAACATTAGCAAAGCTTAATAGAATCTATGTGTGGATCCTTATTGCAACAGTACATCAAAAGGCAAAACACAATGACTAATTCTCCAGATAAAATAGAGATTCTGTGAGGGTTGTTTTTTTCTTAAATGAATCCACTATTAAGAAAAAAAAAATGATTAGATGGTTCCAGGTAACAACATTTTAGTCACTGCAGTCAAAAGCCGAATTCTTATTTAGCTTTCTCAATTCTTTCCAAAAACTACAAGCTAACTGGTCCATTGGATCAATACCTAAACCTTTTTCCTCATAGAACTCAAAGTAGAATTGCTATTGCTAAGTATAAAATACATTGCCCCCTATGGTAAACTACTTTCCAATCCTTGTAAGAGTCCACTTTTGTCAGAGACCTAAAGACCATATCAACAGCTGTAAATAATAATAATAACAAAATATAAAAAGGAATGACATGAGGCTTTTCTGCCTTACTTTATATTCACAAATACCATCAATGAGAATTTCCTTAAGCCTCTAATTACTCTACATTTCCTAGGGCAGATTAAACAACTGCCTACACATTTTTTTCCATTGAAAACTACAAATAGGCCAATAAATGAAACCATCTCCCCACCTACAGACTCTTTTATAGCAAATACTCTCCTGTCACAAAACAGCTTGCTTTAGCAAATGACCACCCACTAGATATGGCCCACCCCTCTATCACTGTAAAATGAACTTTTGACTAGAGGAATCAGAATACATAGCTGGAAAGCAAACTTTAAGAAAGGAAACTTTGATCATATTTACTTCTTTGTCTCTTAGTCACCAGACCCATCAGGTAACTTCTAGTTTCTGAACAATCACAATGAAAGAAAAGCAATCTCTGTCACCATTTTGATTTACAAATAAAATGCATTTTTGAGATTAAAAGACAATGTACTGGAAAAGGTATTACAAGAAAAAGTACATTTTAGAAATATTAATTGTGGTTCCTAAATAATAGAATAAACATATTGATGTAATTCTTTCTGAATATTTCATAGGCATAGTAATCATAAAATAATCTGAAACACATTTACATATTTCTCTTTTCAGCTCCTCCCTATCATTTTATCTTCCGTTTAAAAGTAAAAGAATAGAATATGTCAAAAGATATTGCTCTTGTGTCATTAAAATGGGCAGAAGCTATGGTCATCCATGCATTGTTAAGTAAATTTTAAAACTTAGCTGCAACAGTGACAATATTAGTTATGAATGCAGTTAAGCCCTAAAATCGTTGAATTTTTTAAATATTTAATTTATTTTTAAAACACAGACTTATATATCAACCTTCCTTACAGTTCCAGCTCATTCTTATGGTCTTTTATACAAGCTTTTAATTTCATACAAGAAGATATTAAATTATTTGTATTTTTTAGTAACCTAGCATCTCCATTAATAGTCACACTCCTTTTATCAAAAGTAGTATCTGAGGCATTTAAGGAAGAATTTATCATCGAATTCAACTGGGAATTTGAAACATATTCTTTAACAAAAAACAGAAATTTTCAGTCAATAATAAATATTACACTTCTATTTTATTTGTCTCTATCAGTATCTGTATTTTATTTCTATTGTGATGGCTTATGATTGGTGATAGAAATTTTAGTGTTACTTTATAGTGATATCTTGATTTACAAATTACCCATAAGAAATCAACAGTGTCAAAAATCAAGAAGCCAAAACAATGATGTTACGTAACACGTTACTATTTGCAATTACAGCTGTATGACAAAAATACTTCTAAGCATAGATTCGTTGAGATAAACAGGGTAGGCCATAAGGAATCATGAAGTCTAATAATTTGTCTCTAGTTCAAAGCATTTTTTACCTGAAGGCTTAACTCATCTAGGAATAATCCTTATTTTATTTTCAAAATCCTATTACTCAATTAAAACAGGAATGATCTGGTCATTTTTCAAGCATTATGTTGATTGGACTCATTACTCAATGATTTTCTTCTACAGTGATTGATTAAACTGAGAACTATGCGGTATGTGACTTCCCATGAGAACTATGTGGTATGTGACTTCCCAAGGTCTTGGAGCTATCAGAGCTGGGCTTGAACCCACAATTTTTTTGATTCCCCCATAATAAAGTTCAGGGCATCCTTAAGTAGAGGGGCAGAAATGCTTTTGTTTGATTGGTTACATTGTTTGACAGTGGTTCTGTGGGCATTTGGAAGAGAACCTAAAGACAAATCTGATTAAAGTTTCAGGATCATTTGCTGTAGTGGAGAACGAGTTTTAATCTTTGATGAACTTCTCCTCTTATCTACTTTACTGTTTCTCAAAACATATGTACATCCACCTCCAATCCTACTCCTCTCTTCCCATGCCAATTCTCTGTTGAAATGACCAGAATGATGGTACTTGGGCTGATTCTGGGGCTAACAGACATCCCCTTTTTCTGGTCCTTCAGCATTTCTGATATCTTGGCAGACATACTCACATTTTTATTTCTGTTAAGTGTCCCCTAGAAAAGAAATTTATCATTAGTAATCCTCTTTGCTGAAAAAAACCATTACTCTACTGGCATTTGTTTCTACCTTCCTAGTTATCCTCCTCAAGATTAATAAAATATATTGTACAACTTTTGTAGCAGTGAGATTGTATTCTACACACTGAAATGGAAAAAAAAATTAGAAAAGGCAGCAGCTATGGACAGATGGGTAATACACTCAAAACATCAAAATGAAAGAAAAAAATCTATAACGTATACTGACAGTATGGATACTAGAATCTAGTTCTGATTTTCATTTCTGACGCATTGCCAAGGCAGCCAAAAATCAACGAATTATAGGCTGGTTGAGTTGGTGCACAGGTGGCTGAGGCAAGAGGATTGCTGGAGCCCAGGAGTTCGAGGCCAGCCTGTGCAGCATGGTAAGACCCAGCCTCTTTAAAGAAACAAAACAAAACAAATTCTAGAGGTTTAACCTCAATTTCCCTAAGCCATTTCTAGGCCTGGTTTAAATTACTCTTAATTAAATCTACCTCATATGCCTCTATAAATCTCAGAAGAGCACATGGCAGGTGATATAACAGGAGAAAAAGACAACATGTGAAAGTGGGCTGGGAAGTAAGGAAGACTGAAAATGTTTCAACCTTCTGGAAACATATTTAGCAAAACTAAGACAACAGTATATTCTGTATAGCATGACCACTCTTCAGAATAGAATATTGTAAAACTATAAGGAAGTGGAAATCATTCTAATGGTTTCTCTTCACCTTTTACACAGAGTCAGCTACAAATATCAAATACTGAACAGAACTTTGATTTTTCAAAAGTACATCAGAAGCCTGTGAAAATCATGGAAGAGATGGCAAAACGTCCTTGGGCAAACACCTTGTAGACTACTGACACAGCCTAATACTACTTAGGATGCAACCAACTCTTAAATTTCAAGGATGTACTTTTCCTCCAGGCGTGTTTTTGTAAAGAGGAGATAACTACTGCCTTTTAGATGGCTTTCGATTTGACTTTGTGGACTTCCTTTTCTCAATGAAAACTTTAATATGTAAAAATATATTTTCTTCCTCCTTGCATGTATTCTTGTATAATCCACTAAATCCAAGTTGTTAGTCTTTCTCCAAAAACCAATAGGAATGATTATATAGTTACTCAGATGTAATAGTCAAGAGCTATAAAGAGTGTAGGATCAGTCAGTCCCATTGCCATAAGAAGTAAACAAGCTGGTTTTGAGAGACTTAATTCAACTTCATCCTGTATGCTTAGTGTACCCAAAGCATAAGCAGATATGTATTCTGCTAAAATCAGATTCCTTGCAAGTAATGAAAAATAGAGTAGTAATAACAACATCAACAATAGTATTAAATATCATTTTGCAGTTCTGTACAATATGCTCATTCAACATAAGTATTTGTCTAATCTTCCAACAGCCCTGTATGTCATTATTATCTTCTTTTTAAATAAAAAATACAATTTTATTTTTAAATAAAAAAAGAAAACTGAGGTTTGGAGAAATTGATAGCCTGAATTAATGTACTAAATGGCAAAACCAGGATTCAAATTTACACCCTGTGTCTTCAATTTTCTAGCTTGTGCTACTCCCTCATTTTCTTCTATACTCCTAGCTTAGTAAAGATTGCTTTGGTGTCTTAGTGATAGATACGCTGCTGTCTCTAGAAGTCAGCATCATTTCCTTTATAAATTTATCTGAGACAAATTCTATGCTAGATATGGACAAAAATATAAACAGTTTATCAATGTTCAATAAATTCAATATTTGTTGAGCACTTGTTGAATTTACATACATTGTCTTGGATTTGAAGTTATATAAAACTGCAGGGAGCATGAAGATGTTCAAGCTCAAGATTCAGACTTAAGAGATATTATTGATAAATGATTATTAAATATAAGCAGGCAGATAACATCTTCAACTGAGGGAATGTAGCAGAAGAGCAAAGAGGCCAAACACTGTGAGGAGCCACAAATAATGGACAAGGGAAGAAGAGGAGCCAAGGATAGGAAGTAGCTAACAAATTAGCCAATTAAACATCATTGGAATTTCTGTGTGTAAGTAACTGATCATGATACTAAGAAGAACACAAAGTAATAGAAGTCATAGTCAGCTTGATTCGTTTCCTAGTAGAAATTATCATCTAAAATAGAAAATGCTATCAAAAACACTAAGTGAAAATTAGCTTTTAATAAGTATTTATAAAATATGAGTGAAGATCAATAAATAAATCTAGTACAGTTGTCACAAACATGCACAAGAATTTTAATAAGCTAGGGTACTTAAATGGTTTCCCAAGCTCCAATCCAGATTTATAGAATCCAAATATCTACTTAAAGATTTTTCTGTCTTTCCTTCTCTTCTTTTTCTCTTTTTCTTTCTTTCTCTCTTTTCCTTTCCTTTCCTTCTTTCCTTTCCTTTTCTTTTCTTTCCTTTCCTTCTTTCCTTTCCTTTTCTTTTCTTTCCTTTCCTTCTTTCCTTTCCTTTTCTTTTCTTTCCTTTCCTTTCTCCTTCTTTCTACTTTCCCATATAATTCTGATGATGAGACAAGCTTGGGAAATGCCAGTTTAGTGACATAAACAGACACATATTTTGACAGGAATGGAATTTAAAATATTTTTAATATTATCTAAAGTATTCATATAGTTTATTGGAAGAAATGGAATTTCACAGTTCTGGAAATTAATCGTTAGGTAAATAGATGAGTGAGCTTAAGTGAAAGGAAAAAAGAAGAAAGTTTTACAAATATAAGTATGCAATTAGGTTTCCAGTTTCCTATGCATTATCGATGGCATGCTATCTAGTGCTTACCTAAAAGAAGAAACACAGATGGTAGACTGGCAGACTGGTAAGTCCTAATGATTATGTATCCAAACATAGAAGATGAGTTCATTGTGTGCTCGTGCTCTGTGTTCTGATACCTGAGGAAGTCTACCATTTTTTAAGTTGAAGTTTCCAGAATACTTCACCTTTATCTGAAAGCACTTAGGGAACACGGTTGTTGTTTTTGTTTAAAATAATTTTACCAGTGGTACAATTTGAGATATTCTAATACCTATTCTGATAAAATTCAATACCTATGTCAGAAAATGTCACTGTGAGACCTATGCAGAACCCCAGAAACTGACTAATTTTGTACAGAAAACTTGACTTGCTGTATGGTTGTCAAATAGTGTCTTATAAAGTATTAGATGAAGCAAAAGACAAACAAATTTCTTTATATATTCTTGCTTTTAGAACTTATATAAATACTGAAAAGAAGGTGTAAATGTTCGTGATACAATTCAGAGAACTGTATCTCAAGGAGATTACTTATTAATTTCAGAAATATATTTATGTGTAAACCATGGTAGAAAGTATCAAGTAAAATCCTGTTGAAATGAAAAAAAAAACAAAGTAAAAGTAGAAGATGTACCAGAACTAATACAAGTAAAATAGATGGAGTAATTTTGGGAAGAACATTCATGAATTGTGGAATGTTTAAGATAAAAATGTTATTTAGCAAGAATCTGGTCCTTTTTAAAAAATCATAAATTATGAGCATTAACAAGGACTATCCTATAAGTCCCTAGTGGTTAATTGGCTGTGCTTCAGGAATCCATTTATTATTTTTTTGGAAAACCCATGTCCAATAATGTTGACAGTATAAAAGAATGGGGGACTTAGGAGGTAGAACACTTATTTAGTAGATAGAGGCAAAATGAGAATATTATCCCATTCTATTCCAATCTTCAAAATATCACCCTCCCCAGAAATTTCTCAACCAAATACTTTTAAATTGGATTAAACAGATTACTATACAGATTTTTTCATTTTTAATTCTAACAATAGCTATGGATCATAAAAATAAAGGCTACTGGTTGCTCTTTCCCCAAAATACTGGAAGTCTGGAAGGAGAAAATGGCGAAGTGGAAAGCTGATTCTTTCTGCCCAGATTTGGGACATGAGTGCCCCATGTTTAATGCTTAAAAAAGAGAAAATAAACCTTCTCTACTATAGCCACTCTCATCTCATATTCTGGTGAAAATAAGCAAATAGCCTTCCTTTGGAGACTAGCTGAAGAAAAACTCTAAAGCTCTCCCCCCACCATTCTTTTGTCCTCCTCAGATTAAGGAGCTCTTTGTGTTTGTTTTAAAGCAAGATGACTCAGAGACTACAAACACCATTTGAGATAAATTCCTGACAGAAACATCCACCCACGGGTCCATTCCCTTGATGCTGCCTTAACCTTGCCTTCTTAGGTGAAAGTCACCTACAACTTTTCTACTACAACTTTATTAGTTGGATGAGAACCAAAAAACTAACTAGTTCAGAAATTATCTGAGTCAAGAAAAAAAAACAAAAAACCTGTTTTAACAAGTATATACTTGAGTACATGATGCTGCATGCAGAGATATAAACAAACAAACAAAAAATTATAATGAGAGAACTCACGGTGGGATACTGCAAATCCTTGTGGTGGATTGTTTTCTAGTCCCATGAAGGAATAATATAATCTCTATTGGTTTTTATTCTTACTTTTGTTCCTGTGTCACACGTATCAAAGTGGAACTTGAAAACAGTATGTTTTTTAATTAAAGCAACCAAAACTCTACACTTTTGTTCCCAGTGGTGATTCTAACATTAAGTCAGTATTTAGCACAGCTGTTCACACTCCATAAAATAAAGTTACCTGTCTGATAGAAACAATGCATTTTAAGCTTACATTTTGGGAGATTTAAATGTGTAACTCACAGCTCAAAAGACTTTAAGACATGAAATTAAATATAGTAACTCATGGTAAAAGGTGAAAAGTCCCTAGAAGCTTAAACCATAGAAAGGAAGCATTAAGCTTTCAACTTGCATATTTAGAAATGAAACATCTAGACATATGTATTAGGAGAAGTATAATTATTTCTTAGAAGTTTTAATTATTGGTCACTAAAACAAATTTGATTTCATAAATTAAAAATGTAACAATTATAAGTAGATACTGCACAAGTGAATCTATGTTATTCTTATAAAACATAAATATAATACTATTTACTTATTCAGAAGTAATTTTCATATAGAATTATACATTGTTAAATTCAATCATCAGAGGTTTTGTGGTTGTTGTTATTTTTGATTATTTGTTTTTATTTTGTTTTGCTTTGCACTAAGTCCAAAACAAGGGTTATATGAAATTAAAAACATCTGGATACATATTATCATTACTTGCAGAAATTTAAATTAACATTTTATATTACTCTAGATAAAATGATACACATTTTTATCTTTTGAATCCAATATTTTTAAGTTTTTGAGCAAATTATAATCCTATTATAAAAGTCAGAACATCTATTTTCTGTAGGATTATCCTAAATGCATTGAAGCAATAGATCTAGAATTTAAAATTTAGAATTAGAATTTACTATATGGATTGCCCATGTAAATTAGATACAAAACAGAGATTAAGTGTCCTTTATCTCTGTTATTCCCATGTTGTACATTATTTTACAAAAACTTAGCTCTCAAAAATATTTGTAAAATTAAATATTTTTCTATTAATATAATATTTCATACTTGATAGGATATAGTTTCTTTCCTAATAAGATCTTTAAATTGAGCTCAAGTGTTTTGTGTTGACTTGTTTCCATGAATTGTGTAGCTATAATTTAGTTTTTTGAAAGGAAACAATTTTAAAAACCAAAAACTGCATGACACATAAATTACCAAATGTTTTCATACAATAATTTAAAGTGTAGAGATCTAATATGGACAATTCATCTACCTATCCCACATAAAAATGACTTAAAAAAAAAGATACAAGCCATTTGTACAATATAAGTTTACAATGACTAAGAAAGCAGTCGACATTTTTTGTAGATTTCCGTCACGGGTACAAACAGTGAATATTGAATGAGAACAATGAGAAATGTAATGATAACTCTGGAGACTCACAATCTTGTAGTTATTTTATCTAACGTATTATCTTGGCTCCTTATAACCAATATATGTTCAAGATACACTACTATGTAGTATATTTCTCAAACAGGCCATGTGCTTACTTTACCCTAGCATCCATCTGAAACCTCATTTTCATTACCTAACACAATAATCTTTATTTTCTTTTCTGTGGAATCCGTTCTTTCTCCAGCAGCAGGAATAAACTTCCTCATACACCATTTACAATATGTCAGTCCCTTATCAAGAAATATGCTGCCCCTCATAGTACAATAATATTACCAGAAAAGCCTAAAATTTATAAGAGGCACTGAAGGGTATATAAACTAAAGTCACAAATATTCTGGCATTGATTGATTCATTCATTTATCAAATATTAACTGAGGTCCTGATATGTGCCTGGCAAAGTGAAAGTTGTGAAAGCTTCTAGCAATGAAGAAGTGAAGAAGAAAGCCTAGGTCTTTCCCTCAGGTAGCTTGCACTTCCAAATAAGCAACCTAGACCACAGTTAACTCAGCCCAAGATTACCAGGAACACCTGCAGGTGAGCACGTTGTGTGTATTACCTGTTGCAGGGAGGGAGAGCATACGCCTTAGGGAAGCGTAGTGCATCTCAGTGAGAGCACATTAGACAAAAACTATTAAGGGATTTGTGCTCTAGTTGGGTAACACTGGGAGGAGGTTAAGGGAACAAGATCACTCTAGATTGAGTTCTGTCATAGAGCAGGGGTGATTTTATACCCTTGAATATCTCAATAAATCTTATCTGCAGGAAGGGCAGATTAGAGCAGGGTTAAAACTGTAACTGGTTTAGAAAAGCAGTAGCCACTCAGTAAGAAAGGGGATTGGTTGTTGTTTTGTGGATTACCCAGTGACCCATTTGCCCAGATGGGAATGTTCAGTGAGAATTTTATGTTCAACAGGAGAACAACATGGCTTAGCTATAAAAGTCAGATCAGTTTGTATTAATAATATTCTAATAATAATATTGAGGCTTAGGTTTGAGTGTCATAGCAGTTCTTAAGCATCAAAAGCTACTGCTTTTTTTCTCTCACAGATTATACAGGAAATGAACAGAAAAAGGTGATAAATATTACTAGGACTAATTTACATTATGTGGCCGAGAAGACCACTTTGTGAAGATAACATTAAGCTAAGACCTGAGGGGAGGTGATATGAAGAGCTTAGAAAAGAACCTGTCTGCCGGGCGCAGTGGCTGATGCCTGCAATCCCAGCACTTTGGGAGGCTGAGGCAGGCGGATCACGAAGTCAAGAGATCCAGACCATCCTGGCCAACATGGTGAAACCCTGTCTCTACTAAAAATACAAAAATTAGCTGGCCGAGGTGGCGCACACCTGTAGTCCCAGCTACTCGGGAGGCTGAGGCAGGAGAATTGCTTGAACCCGGGAGGTGAAGGTTGCAGTGAGCTGAGATCGTGCCACTGCACTCCAGCCTGCTGACTCAGAGTGAGACTCGGTCTTAAAAGAAAAAAGAAAAAACAACGAAAGAAAGAATGAAAAGAAAAGAAAAGAACCTACCTGACAAAGACAATTGCAAAGATCTTGAAAGAAAGGGCTGGATTTGTTTGAGAACTTAAAAGGAGGACAGTGTCTGGAAAAAAAGCGAGTGGAAAGGGATAATGGCACGTGACCAAAGCCAGAGCTACAGGTCCACGTGGGTTGTAGGAAGGGGTTTACATTTTATTCCAAGGATGGGAAGCATTAAAAGGCCATAGTTTGGGTATATAGAATAACTAATAAGCAACATTATGCTAGGCTCAGCCCATGCTTCATGCTAAGCCCTAACCCACGTTAGGCCCAAACCCAGTGCTATGGACTGAATTGCATTGTCACCAAGTTTATATTTTGAAGTTCTAACCCTGAGTACATCAGAATGCCACTGTATTTGGAGATGTGGTCTTTAAATAGGTAATTAGGTTTAAATGAGGTCATTAGGGTGAGCCTTAATCCAACAGGACTGATTTTCCAAAGAAAACTAGGACACAGAGATATAAAGGGAAGATCACATGAAGAAACAGGGAGAAGATGGCCATCTGCAAGCCAAGGAGAGAGGCCTCAGAGAAACCACACGTACTGTTACTTTGATCTCACACTTTTAGTATCTAGAATTGTGAGAAAATAAAGTTCTGCTGTTTAAGCAACGTGGTCTGTGGTATTTTGTTATGACAGCCTTAGCCAGCTAATACATTGAGATGTCAGTACAGCATCTTTAATACCCAAACCTATGAAATCAATGCTAAGTATCCACTGAATCAATGTCCGCTCTTGCTTGAAAAATAAAAGGTATCACAGTGGCATGCAAAAAGATCATTTCTCTAGGCTTCAAGTCCATGGGGAGCAGTTAGGACAAGAAAGTGACTATAACTCTTCTAGCTCAAAAGTGACGGGACTTATCAGAGGGACCATTGGAATCATACTTTCAAAAATGCAACTCTGTATTTATATTATATCTTTCTTCCAAGTAATTCAAAACACTTCAAAGACATTTTCATATCAATTCTCAGAGCACCCTGTGAAGGCAAGTAGGTGGGAAATATTATCATTCCTATTTGACATTTCTATACGCCTACTCACTTGATTATAAGATCATTTTAACTGAATATATAATTTTTTTCAGAGAAAAGAATACATGCCCAAGAAAGAAAAGATGTTCATAAGAAAAAATAGTATAATTTTGGACTACAGTTACTATCATGTGCTGAATGATGTGGAAATTTGGTGATATACACAATGACCATTGAGATTTTAATTTAGATATTATTTCTTCTTCCTTTTTTATATTTCCTGAGAAAAAGGTAGAAATACTAGCAAAATGGCAGCTATATTTTTTAAATAGCACCAAACTGAGGATAATTGGTCTGTTTTAGTCTCATATTCAAAATATAGTGTTTGTTGCACATTTAAGGAGAGTATTAAAATATTCTGAAGTCCAAAAACCTTAAAATATCAATTATTCTTATTTTTTCCTCTATGTAAAGTACCAGGATATATGATGATTTATAATGAAAAATAGGTTTTTATCAGGAAAGGCAGTTTTAAACAAAAATGTAATTTCAAACTTTCTAACATTGAAAAAAAAAATCACTCCAATGTATATCTTCCCTCTTTGAGAGGCTAAGGACAAACAGCCCTTATTTGTGTGTCTTCCTAATTTTGACAGCTTTATCTCATCTCACTCACTCTCATGCTTCCTAGCCTTCAGATTCACTGAACTTCATACATTCATTTACTTAATCAATAAATATTGGCTCATACTGTAAGGCATGGAGACAAAGTAGTGAATAAGACTAAATAAGGTCCTTCCCTTCATGAAGCATACTTACAGCAGAGAAATAAATTTTAAAAAGCAAAATAGTTCAATATTATCCTAGATGTACTAGTGATAATAAGCAATGACATGAATGAAAGTGACTGAGTAGATGGAACTTTAAAAATGGTAGTTGAGTAAAACCTCTCTGAGAAGGTAAAATTTCTAAGATCTTTTAAAAATGCACCACTGTTTGGAGAGTTGAATTAACAATTGTTAATTTTTAATTAACAATTAATTAATTTTTAATTAACAATTGTAGGCCAAAATGAATCCCTCAAATCTCAAGAATCCAATGCATCAGTTACAGGGCAGGTAATTTGGACTTCTAGAAAATTATCAGGGTCCAATGCAAAATGAAAATGTGAGACCCCTTGTTTAAAAATTGTTTAAATTTCAAGAGTAAATTATTTAAAATTTCAAGATGGTGGCAGTGAAGCATTAAACTAAGCATTGACCTGTCTATGCAGGGCAGGTCGTATGTTCATGAAGCTAGGCCTGAAGAGCCTAGACTACTATAGATTGGAAGTCTTTGTGGATCAGAGCATTGTAGAAGTTGAAGACATTAGGCTGGGGGATGGGCACTGCATGGTAGGTCTGATTATCCTGGTAATAAAAGACCTAGAAAACTGGGACTTCCACAAAATGTGTGATGAACAGAAATGTACATTCCAAGGAGGAGTGTGCCCTCAGTGAAAACAGGGAGGTAGGTCAGCCTCAAGACTATGTTCCCTCCTGCACCCGTAGCTGTATCCATGGCCCTGGAAGTAGTTTTGTAAAAGCATCACTTTCTTCCTTGCTTCAGAACTTTTGCAAATCTGTAATAAACCCCATCCACCACCTGACTCCATCCTGACTATGAACTCCAGGAAGGTAAGAGCTGAGTCTGACTTATTTTCTCCAGCTTTTAACCCACAGTAGATTTTCAATTATTCATTAAATCACCAGTGATTTAATTAATAGATAATTTCATCATATGGTAGGTGACATTGTGGAAATTTTTAGAAGAAAATATAGCTGACACTTTTATATTACAAACTTTTGTTTGGAAAATAGATTATTAAAAGATTAAATTCCACCTTCTCACCCTTTTTTGGTTTTGTTTGTTTACCTTGTAATAGTGTGTGAATAAATGTATTTAGCAACCTAAGGACAAATAGCATCAAATATCAAACTTATTGACTAAATACCAAAACTAATTCCTAGTCTTCATTCCCTTAGTTATTTTTCTCCCACAAATAGGGCAGTTAGTAATTAACACAAGATTATAAAAATATAAATGCCTAAGAGCTATTAAAATGTGATGACAGATCACCAATCCGATTTAACATTTTTCATGTAATTTGGTTGATCAGAGAAATGCAAGTCACTCAGAACATCTACTAAAAAGTACATAGTGAGTCCAAAGAAGGACAAATCATTTTTCTCATAAATTGCACAAATAGTTTAGGTTATTCAGAATTTTTGATCTAAATTATGTTAGCATTCAACAACATAATTATTAACATAGATTGTCACTTACTGTCACCTTCGAGGAATCAGCCCCTACATTGCCGTCAGTATAAAACAAGAAGATTAAATATATTTATCCAATATGTGGAATTCTGACCACTCACAGGTATTAGAAAAAGGCAATAATTTGGGACTTTGTTTCCCTAACTTGTCTCAGAATCCCATTTGGGATTTTTATTTTAAAATATACAGATTCCCAGTCGGACCTAGTAGCTCACGCCTGTAATCCCAGCACTTTCAGAGGCTGAGGTGGGTGGATCACCTGAGGTCAGGAGTTCAAGACCAGCCTGGCCAATATGGTGAAACCCTGTCTCTACTAAAAATACAAAAAGTTAGCCGGGAGTGGTGGCATGCACTTGTAGTTCCAGCTACTGGGGAGGCTGAGGCAAGAAAATTGCTTGAACCCGGGAGTTAGAGGTTTCAGTGAGCCAAGATTGGGCATGGCACTCCAGCCTGGGTGACAAAAGCAAATCTCCATCTCAAAAAAAAAAAAAAAACTACAGATTCCCAACGCCCTTCTTGCAGATACAATTTAAACATGTATAAAATGAGAAGGGAATATGGTTTTCAAACACTAATTTAAAGTGTTGCTTATAACTGGATATTTATGGGGAAAATTGAGTTAGGCACTCAAAATGAACAAAACTGTTCACATATTTAAAGGGGGCTGATTTGAATACACAGGTCAATCCGCTTCTGATTGAAAAAAAGAAAAAGAAAGAAAGAGAGAGAGAGAAAGAAAGAAAGAAAAGAAAGAGAGAGACAGAAAGAAAAGAAAGAAAAGAAAGAAAAAGAAAGAAAAAGAAAGAAAGGAAGAAAGAAAGGAAGAAAGAAAGAAAGAAAGAAAGAAAGAAAGAAAGAAAGAAAGAAAGGAAGGAAGGAAAGAAAGAGGAGAGGAGAGGAGAGGAGAGGAGAGGAGAGGACCCACTAAAAAGATTCTAGTCAAAAACTTCTGGTTCTTTGATAGAATGACTATACTAATAGTTATGATTAGTTTCTATTTAGAATGTCTTCTTTTCTTATACATTATAACTTTTCCCTACCTTCAGTCAAGAGTTAACTGGGTTCAAATTTCCATAAATGTCTGTTTCCTGGATGGACTGCGGTGTATATTCAAAAGTAAATTCTCTTGCCATACCAGGCAGTATTTTCTGGACATGGCAGCCTAGGAAGCCTAGGTTGTGCTTTCTAAGCCATATGAGACAATAACTTGCCATTACTCAAAATATGCAGTTGGCATGGATATGCAGGCATAAGTGACTTCTCTCTTCTTTCCATAAATATATTCTAACAACAATGTTTGTTTTCAAACCTTTTCTACCAACTCATATTAACCTATGAAGAAGAATCTGGTTCATTATTTTGTTTGTTTGTTTGTTTGTCTTGAGATGGAGTCTCTCTCTGTCCCCCAGGCTGGAGTGAGGTGGCGCGATCTCGGCCACTGCAACCTCCACTTCCCAGGTTCAAGTGATTCTCCTGCCTCAGCCTGCCGAGTAGCTGGGATTACAGGTGTGTGCCACCACACTTGGCTAATTTTTTGTATTTTTAATAGCGGCGAGGTTTCACCATGTTAGCCAGGATGGTCTCCATCTCCTGACCTTGTGATTTGCCCGCCTCAGCCTCCCAAAGTGCTGGGATTACAGGCGTGAGCCACAGTGCCCGGCCTCATTATGTTTTTATATGTATTTGTGAAAGCTTCTAACAGAATTGTATCCTAATACACTTCTCTCAAACTGTCAGCATCCTGGACATCCCTGTTGGACAACACCTTGAAGGGCTATACGGTAAGAATAATTAATTTTCAATTTATAGGCATCTGTTATCAATGAAAAAGGAGCAAGAACAAACCCCCAAACTATAAGCCTCATTCCTGTAATATCATTCCTAGTGCCAGTTTAGGCACTAATCAAAAGAATTTCATTAGGTAGATTCAACCAATGTCTAATATTTTATAGAAAATGCTGACAGAAATTAAGTGGTTTGCCATGCAACAGTTATTAGTAAATCTGGTATTTATGACTCAGACGTCTCAAGTTTCCAGTATATTACTCAGCAACTATACATTTCTTTCTCTTTTTGTATGTGTCAGTCCCATGCTGATGTTGTTGTGACTGAACTTCTGCAGTGAAATCAATGTATCTAACCTTCAAAGACTGACAATCATATCCTGCTTCCTCCTAGACTTTTCACTTTTGAAAATATACTATGGGCTTCTCTCCCATATTTTCTCTGTACTATAGTAGGCTCTTTTCTGGTAATTTCACTTCTTAGGAATATTAATGGCATAAAATTATGACAATCACTGCCATTTTTTTCTTAAAATGCAGATTGCCAGGTTTAGCAATTGCAGATTGGATTTGAAAGAGAAGAGATTCAAATGCAGTAATCCTGCCAGAAGACATAGCTCCTTCACTGATTTAGAATCAGCGAAATGTGTGACAGGAAAGACTATGTTGGAAATAGGGTTTGATACATGTTTCAAGAGCAAAATTGAAACTACCCTCTCATGGATTGCAGCTATAGATCACTAAAGAGATCTTCGCATAAGCAAAAGGCTGCAGGCCCTGCCTTCTCCTTCATCCTTCTCAGGGTGGAAACATCTATTTCAAAATTAGATGTGTCAAATCTTTCACAATTCATTGCTGAAGTACATGCCTAAAACTGTCTCTTATTGAAAAATATATTAATTATATTTCTGCCTTTTTATCATGTAAATTTAGAGCTCATGAAAGGAACCAGATGGACAGCTTTTGGGAATGAATCCTTCCTTTGATTAAAAGACAAGGAGGAAAGTTTCTACATGCTCCATCTCTGAAAAGCTTCCTCCTAAAACTTTTAGCACTGTTGAATTAGTTGGAAATTGTGAACACCATGTTTTTGTTGTGTGTTTTGAATGCCAAGATTTTGTTGTGTGTGTATATGTGTGTTGGTGGGAGGGGTGGGGACAAAGAGGGAATAATTGTTAGTGCCAACAGCAATCTTAAGTTTTCTTATAAGTATTATCTTGATTGGTCTTTTGGACCTTTAAAGATGAAAGTATTTTAATTAATTAAACAGCATCCCATACATCATGTGGATGTAAAACTATAAAAACTAACAGAATACAACTCTTAACATTTCAAATGTACTTCTTCCTGTTCTGAAATCTCTAACTCATCTTACTAGATTGAATTCACTTTTTCAAAATATTAATCACTAATAACACATCAGACTACTAGGAATATGTATTTGTTGTTTTATTTCTTTTATGAAATAAAGATTTATTGAACACTTATTTTATGTCAGCCCCAGTATAAGAAGATGATGCAATGGTGAATAAAAAGGCACCAGTTATACTCTGAGGACACTGGTATTCTAGTCCAAAATGCAGACAGGCCAATGTCAGGAAACACACAAGATACTGAGATACCAAATTAAGGAGTTAACCTCAGTCATATTTGGGAGACAGAAAACATGAAAATGGTAGATATGAGAATTGAAGATCTTGGAAGCAGTTGACTTAGCTAATCCAGTTTGGATAATGGCTGATGGTGACATTTGGGGGTGTTTTTAAATGAGTTGGTTTTAATATTTCATATTAAAATTCAGAAATTCATAGCTTAACCTTGTTCATTAGATTTTGGTGTTAAGAAGTTACTGCTGGGGTATCTAGAAAAATACATACATTAATATAGAAATGCATATAAATGAACTACAGTAAGGAAGCCCTTGAGGAAATAAGAGGACAGACTCACTACCATGTAGAATATCTCTTAGCAAGGTATTGATATTTAAAAGATTACTAACATCTTGCAATTTGTCTTGGAGTATGGTTTCTACTTAGCTTCCTTCCTTTTCTGGTCACATTGGTTTTGGGGCACTATCTAGCTAAGTCGACAACTATAAAACAAAACCAAAGTCTAGGCTTAGATTAACATTTTGGCTTATTGATCTTGCAGTAAAATAGATCTACTGGTATTACAAATCCTATTTATCTTACTTGATGGAAGTTCTGTTGTTTTTCCTGGCTAATTATTAAGATTAGTTGAATCTAATATTTTGTTCTCAGGTATTGACAAAATGCTTAATTGGCAATTTGGCTAATTCTGTTGCCTGCTTCCTCCGAAACAGGAAACTGAAAGTTTTTACTTGGTTACTGCTATCCTTGGTTTATAGTCAGGCTCAAAATCTTAGTTCTCAAGTATTAGCTTTTAACCCAGCATTAAAATAGAAAAAAATACACACTGATATTACACAGTATTCAGTCTTAGTTTTGTTGTTAAGAATCTTTTTCTAGAGTGACATAACTTTCATCAATAGTGATTTGAGATGTAGCAGCTTTAAAACATTTTTCCACATTACAGAATTACTCTGCTTTCTAACATGATATGGTTTTAATTTTGAAAAGAATTTCACAAAATTTTTCTCCAGTTGAATTGATTTTCATGGTATTAAGTATGGAAAATTATGCTTCTTTTGGATTAATTTAATCAGCATCATCTTGGAACTCTACATTTCTTAAAATGTTGATTATTTTCTGCAAAGCCCTCCTCTCCTACCCAAACTTCTCGAAAGCTCCATGTAAGAAGGGACTTTTACTATCTTGTTCATCACCATATTTTCAACACTTACAAAGACTGACTCCTAATAAGCTCTCCTATTTTATTACTTGAATGAATGATAGATGAGTAAGTGTGGGATGTATATGTAAGTATAAAGTCTACAGCCATTACTCTGGGCTTTCATTATGAACAGCATAAAATGATTAGGAATTTTTTTTTGTAATGCTGATGGAAACTCGTCTTTTGCATTGTGTTTTAACTTGTTAGCAGTATGCTCAACATTTTAATTTGTTTTTTGTATTTATACTGTGAAGAAATCAGTCTGTATATCAACCCTTTTAGTAAAAGCCGAAACTTAAGTCTGCATAAGCAGGTGACATTCCAAGAGCACAAGGCCATTAAGGATACAGAGCTGGGAATCACTGGAGTCTTTAGAGAGAGGCAAAGTAGTGGTTAAGGATGTGGACTTGAGAGCGGACTGCTTGGAGTTAATCTAGGCTCTGCCTTTTATAAGTGTGAGCCCTTGAGCAAGTTACCTAATCTCTTGGTGCTTCAATGGACTCATAATAGAGTTATTGTGAGGATCAAAGGAGTCAACATGTATAAATTGCTTAGAACAGTGCCTACCAACTAGAAAACACTCAATAGATACCAGTGTTTATTCTAGCCACGGGCCCTTTCTACCCTGGGCTAGAAGGCAAGTGGTTTCTTCACATTTTTCTTTATAATTTGTCTTCAAATACATGTACATATTCTATGAAACATCATAAAGCATGGCAACTTGTGCTTGCTCTAAATGCTGTACTTTAAGTACCATATTATTTTATATAAATGTAAAATAAAATCTTTTATATTTAGTTTTATTATATCTATCATAATTCATAGGGATTTGTACATTTTCTTTTAAATTTAAATATCCCCTATCCAGAAAGGAGTGATACACAGAGAGAATTCACTCCAAATCAGTGATGAAGTAGAAGTTTATGTGAAGTAACAAAAGGCATTGCATCTCTCGTATTAGATAACTCGCTGTCAAGTGCCAATCTGCATCTCTAGGGACGAGGTTCCCAGTTCATCTCTGAAATAGAAAACGTTGCCCTAAATTTTTATTGATTTTGGTGACAATAACTAACAGCTGCAAAATTGTCTCCCAGGAATTAGAATACCATGCCAGAGATTTATACTACTTGTACTTTCTCAAAATTAGCTGAAACCCATATGAGGACTTCAAACTAAGTTAGGGAAGAAATAGATTATTTCAGTCACTATTGCTAAAACTGAGTCATAAAGGTAAGAAGTAGAGTTGGATTTTTTGCATAATACTTATACAGAACTAAATTACAAATTTCTTTATTTTTTTGAGACGGAGTCTCACTCTTTTGCCTAGGCTGGAGTGCAGTGGTGCACTCTCAGCTCAATGTAACCTGCACCTCCCAGGTTCAAGTGATTCTCATGCTTCAGCCTCCTGAGTAGCCAGGAGTACAGGTGTGTGCCACCTCGCCCAGCTAATTTTTGTATTTTTAGTAGAGAAAGGGTTTCACCATGTTGGCCAGGCTGGTCTCAAACTTATGGCCTGAAGTGATCTGCCCGCCTCAGCCTCCCAAAATGCTGGGATTAAAGGCATAAGCCACCACACAAACCTTAAGTTAAGAATTATTGAAGTTTAAATTAACATGAAAACCAAAGAAGTACTGAAAAAAAATTAGGTGAATGTTTTTATAACCTTGGAAGAGGGAAGATTTCCTAAGCATAACGTCAAAAAGAAAAACCAATTCAAAAATTTAATAGATTTGATTACATAAAAGTGTAAAACTTTCATATCACAAACAAATATTTAAAATGTTAAATAGAAAAAATTATAAACAATATTTGAAAACTATATGAAGTATGTATTATTAATAATGTTAATCAATAAATAAATCTTACCAAGCAATAAATTAAAAACAAACAACTTAATTGAAAAAATGATAATGGTAAACAAATAGGCAATTCACAAAAGAAGAAATGCAAATGAACATGCAATATGTAAAGAGATGTTTAACCTCTCCATGTAGATACTAGAAATTAATGTAGCACTGTATTAATATTTTAAAGATAGGCTTAGATTTAATAAGATTGACACTATCCATTTCCTTCTAAGGGTAAGGTAAATGTCTATTCCCACTATATAAAGATGAAATAAAAATTGGTACAATGTTTCTGAGGACAATCTGCTAATAGAAAAATAGATATAGATAGGAATAATACATAATTTTATGTATGAATATATACATAATTTTGCTACTTTCAGAATTTCAAATTATAGGATTTTAATTTATGCAAATAAACAATGTGTAAAGATATATAGATATACATATAAGAAAAATTGAGAAAATGATATATCTATATACCTTCACACATTGGTTTGGTTATTCGCATAAATTAAAACATTCTCGTTATTTACAAGTATGTAAAAAATGAAACACTAGAAAAATAATTAATTATTGTATACCTGTACAATAGTGTATTATAGTTCATCAAAAATGGCGATGTAGCACTATGCTAAAGTAGAAAATGTCCATTGTATATGCTCAATAAATATGCATGTTTGTGTGTGTGTGTGTGTGTGTGTGTGTAGTAAACCAGCATATGTATTATGGGCCTTTATATTCATTAGAGAAGGCTGAGAAAGTTTTATATCAACATATATATTCTTAACCACTTTATCGGGTATTTATATCATAAAATTTACTGATTTCAAATATACAATGCAATGGTTTCAGTAACTTTACCAGGTAGTGGTAAAGCCATCAGTATACATCAATTTCAGAACATTTTATTACCCCCAATAACCTTCCTCTTGCCCTCTTAAAGTTAGTTAATCCCCTTTCCCATTACCAGTCTTTAGCAACCAACAATCTACTTTCTGTTTCTATAAATATGGCTTTTCTGGACGTTTTATATAAATTGAATCATGCAGTATGTGATCTCGCATTCTGGCTTTTTTCACTTAGCATGTTACTTTTTAAGTTCGTTTATGATTTAAAATATGTCAGTGTTTGTTCCTTTTAACTGGTGAATAGTATTCCATCATATAGATATTACACACTTTGTCTAATGGACATTTAAGTTGCTTTTGGTTGGGGATCATTATTTACACGCCAACATGTTAATAATAATTATCTCTGGATGTTGGGATTATAAATGCTTTTCACTTTCTTCTACATACATTTCTCTGTGTGTTTATGCCTTAATAATTCAGGAGGGAGAATTAGGATTAAAGCACTATTTTTAACAGGGCTTAATATAAAATGATGAAACAGCAGGTTTGTTTAGAAATTTAGATCCCAATTGAATTGTTTTGCATGGCAATTATTTTCTGCATCCTTACTCCCCTGCATGTTCAAGACATTCTGCTGATTTTCTGTAGAAGGCTAAAGAACTGAAAAATTTGTAAATTTTCCAAAATTTATCTTAAAAATAATACCATAATAGTTAATTTCCTTGTTGAAGAGGAATTGACCCAAACACCATTTTTTAAACTTAGCTGCTACTTTAACTTTTACTTGTAATTATTTTATTAAAAGTTTTAGTGTTTTAAGGAGAATAAGTTGAATGTATATACATAATGAATATATATAACATATATGTACATAAACATATTTATAATGATTTATATCAAATATATAATACATAACACATTATACCCTATAGAAACATGTAACAATAGAAATATGAAATACAGAATTTTTCTTAATAGTGGTAATTTGAAAAGATATCATGATTCAGTTATTCTGAATAGTTTTGATGTATTACAGCATTTTTAAAAAATCAGTTATACTTCTTATCCACAAATACTAATTCATCACATACTTACTGGTTCTTTTATATGACAGAAATTTACTATGGGAGTGAGATCGCACTGTTACTGCTCTCAGAGAACTTTAAAGAGGTAACTTGTAAAAAATTAAATTTCAAAATGATGAGTTAAGGCTAACAATAATAAGAAATAGCAAGATTTACTTGGCTCTCACATATTTTGTGTTGTGCTGAAATCGATTACAAAAATCTAGTTTATACAGAATCTACATGGTAAGTCAATAAATTCCTCACTAAAAATGAGTGGATCTTTTGTGTAGTTATTGTTATATTTTTATTATATCATCATCATCATCATTTTAAAATTTGAAGAATCTGCATAAAGTTTGGAACAAGTGTTTCTTTTGTAAAACCTGCCTTAATTATGCAACACAAATGTTTGAAAGTGTGAGAATTACCAAAATGTGACACAGGGACACAGTGTTGTTGGAAAAATGGTGCCAATAGACTTGCTTGATGCAAGGTTGTCATAAATCTTCAATTTGAAAAACACACAATAATTGTAAAGCACAATACAAAGAGGTATGTCTATGCAAATGGATTTGGGTCAAGGGATTAAGAACCTCAAAAACCCAAGTTCTTATGTCATCATTAATATTTAATGCATTGCATGAGCTTTAAAATATTAAGCATTCAAATATGTGAAAGTTTACTTGGAACAAGAATTCTCTTTTTTCAATGAAAACATCACTGAAAAAATAGTAGGCATTTTTCTAGCTGATGGTGTATGGCCCAAGCATATCTAAAGTGATTGTGCTTGCCTAAAGCCTGGGCCAGGCGCAGTGTCTCACGCCTGTAATCCCAGCACTTTGGGAGGCCTAGGCGGGCGAATCACGAGATCAAGAGTTCAAGACCAGCCTGGCCAACATGGTGAAACCCTGTCTCTACTAAAAATACAAAAATTAGCCGGACATGGTGGCACATGACAGCAGTCCCAGCTATTGGGGAGGCTGAGGCAGAATAATCTCTTGAACCCAGGAGGCGGAGATTGCAGTGAGCTGAGATCACACCACTGCAGTGAGCTGAGATCACGCCACATGGAGCAAGACTCCATCTCAAAAAAAAGAAAAAAAAAAAAAAAGTCTGGATCTGAATTTTCCAGTAGTGAAATAAAAATGAAAAGCATTGTGTCTAAGTCCATTTTATGCTGCTATATATAACCCAAACCTGAGACTGGGTAATTTATAAAATAATAGAAATTTGTTTGTCATGGTTCTGGAAGCTGGGAGGTCCAAGATCAAGGCACGCATCTGGTGTCTAGTGAGGGCCTTCTTGCTGCACCTTCACATGGCAGGAGGTGGAAAGGCAAATGGAGAGGAACATTGTGTCTTTACATAACAAAAGAGTGGAAGAGAGGGAATCCACTCCCAAAAACCTTTTTGTAACAGCATTAACCCATTCATGAGGATGGAGCTTTCCTGACCTAAAGACCTCCCAGTAGGCCCCACCTCCCAACACTGTTGCACTGGAGATTATTTTCAACACATAAATTTTGGGGGACACATTCAGACCATAGCATATAGTTATGTGATCTTATTAGAAAGGAGGAAGAATTTAAATTTATCAGGGAGAGACAAGGTTTATTCTTGAGATTCATGTCCTCAAAATTTGTATGGCCAATTCAAACAGAAATTTTATTATGAGTTTTTTTAAACATCCTCTAAGAAAACTTAGCAACGTAATATTAAAATACAACTTTATGAATGTGATTCCAGGGAACATAGCAAACACAATACTCTCCAAAACGAGTTTATAGCCAGTTCTAGAATCGGTGTGGCCTCAAATAGCAATGTCCTTCTTGACTGGAAGCATGATGAAGCACCCCATATTTATTCTTCCTGACTTGAACTAATTTCACCTAATTAGATACTCTTCGGTGATTTACAGTAATCCAGGTTTTAAGTTAAAAGTATCTTAAGAAGGAGTGACTGAATGCTTCCCTGAACCTAACTTTTGAAAAGAGCCCAACTTCTATGCTTTTGTGTTGCTGTTTAGTTTCAAAATATTTACATCTCTAAAATAGATGCCAAAGCTTTCTACTGTTAAATCATAATGGTCTTAACTAATGTTCTAACCTGATTAGAAGAAACTTCACCACCAAGGAAGGGGCACCTAAGAGCAAAGGCATTAGTTTCTTCCAGATTGGCCACTGAAAATGTCACAATTTTGTGTGTTAAAGTAACCAATTACTTCAGTTTTAATAGCTTACTGTGACAGGAAGATACATGGAAGATAACATAGCATAACTAGAGAGTAACTCATTGGAAATCAAATGAGTTTTCTTTTTCCTTTTAATTCACAACATATTTTATTAGCTTATGATAGACTTAAAAGTTTATAAATTTATTGCTGGACTTCTCTAGTGCAACTCTTCTGTTTACAATGTTAATCACCTTGATAGTTGTGGATTTACATTCTTCTCATGTCATAGATGTCTGGGACAGAAAAGCAACTAATTAATTTATGTCAAGGAAGAAAAATGCATTTATTTATATCTAAATGAAAAAAGAGCAACACCTTTTTTCATAAATAAATGTATCACTTGGTGACAATACAAGATGTTCTTGCTTGAATTAGATACTAGGTCCTGAAAGAAAGTACGGAAAAATAGGTGACTCAGGTTATGTAAGACTATTGAAAACAAAACTTTCTTAAATCTGTTATTGACAGGAAGATGAATTCTCTAAATTTCACTGAAAAGATTCACTATGGTTGAGTGCCAGTAAAGCTTCTGTTTACGGACTCATGAAAACAAAGAATGGAGGTCAGGTAAAGAGCTCAGAGAACCTCCTTAAAAAGTTGTCTGTAATGTAAAAACAAAAAAGGATGAAACCTCAGTATTTTAACAATAGCTTCAATTTGTATTTTATAAGAGCTAATATCAATGCAACTTGCCTATACAGAAACTTGTGATTCCTGGACAGATGTGCAGCCAAAGAGGTTTATTTTAATTAATAAAATGGCTATGAGTAGCATAATTGCAGGTTAACAATCTAACCTTAAGCAAACACTATATTCCTCTGATTAAGTTTATTTCCTTTTACTTTAAATTTTCTCCACATAGCCTAATTTTTCTCAATGCCCCTTTTTCCTCGATTCACCAAAAAAAAGAAGTCACTGTGATATGCTTCAAACAAGTAAAACCATCTGACAATTTTTGCTTGAAATCTTACAAATATCATTTTAAGCTCCTGTTCAACGACAAACTTGCAATTACTTTGAACAAGTTACTTTATTTCTTTGCCCTTAATTTTCTCATCGATTAAAGGAAATTAATACCTATAGGGTAGGATGGTGGTAAAAATTAGACAACATGTGATCAAATTGCCAAGTGCCTAGTAAATGCTAAATAAGTAGTATTATAATTAGTTTTAGTTTTGATTTTTGTTTGTTGTAAATAAACAGACTTCTACTTCTGGTGATTTACCAGCCAATAGTGCTTAAATGAAGTTGCCCTCTGTTAATGGAGTATTTAACTCCTAAGAAAAAGTTTCCATCAGTCTCTCTTGTTCTAGTTTGTTTTTGTTTTTTTTCCTTTTTTTTGAGGCAGAGTCTCGCACTGTCGCCAGGCTGGAGTGCAGTGGCGAGATCTCTGCTCACTGCAACCTCTGCCTCCCGGGTTCAAGCAATTCTCCTGCCTCAGCCTCTCGAGTAACTGGGATTACAGGTGATCGCCACCGCACCCAGCTAATTTTTTCTATTTTTAGTAGAGATAGGGTTTCACCATGTTGGCCAGGCTGGTCTCGAGCTCCTGACCTCGTGATCTGCCAGACTCGGCCTCCCAAAGTGCTGTGATTACAGGCGTGAGCCACCAAGCCCAGCCTCTTGTTCTCTTATAGAACCCATGAGAGAATCAAAAGACATATCTGTGACTTTAGTTCATACCACCTAAGCTCCTTTCCATTAGCGAATTTGAGCCGTAAGATTGAAATAATAGCTAGATACATTGGGAGGCAGGGAGCAGGAACAATAGAGAGCTACAAAGAATGTGAAAGACAATTTAGTGCTTCCCCCTAGCCTGTATTTCATCTTACCCTTTGCTGTCTATGGACTATTCATCAGAATTAACATGAGCTGAAATCTCCTTTGAAATTTTAATCAATTTAACATTGGTGTATCTATAGATTAGATGAAATAACTTTTGCTGTCTCTTCTAAGCACCTTTGTCATATGAATGGCTTATAGCCCTCATATTTCTCAACATGAATTTCTAGATATCCTTCTATTTCAATCTTGTTTTCAAAGGACAAGGTGGAAGATGACAATGGTAATGAAGATTAACTGAAAGACTAATTATTTAGTCACTGGTGGGGGGGACGAGGCATACAGCTAAATCTTTCTGTCAGGAATATTCATAACTAGTTCAGTTTAAATGCCAGATTTATGAGAGCAAGTGACCCATCTCTATCATGTGCCGGATGCTTTATTTAAGGTAGGTTCAGAAGATTCTTAATTTTTTATGCAAAGCTATTCACTGTATATCAATCCTAAAACATTACTCTCTTTCCACTTCTCTATGTGCTATGCCCTACATATATGTAACCACAGACATTTATATTGAGTCTTAAATGATTATTATATGTTACGAATCTATATTTTGGAATACTCACACAGCACTTATTTTTTTCTTTTTAACCTGACAACAAGATTCATTTGATTGGTGATAAGTTGTGTGCCATAAACTCAACATGAATAGATTGCCAGTTAGTAGATTTAGGATAGATAAGGGAGAAAAATCACTAATCTGATATTTAACTATGGCCCAACAAACACAATCCAAAGTTTATAACTGTGCCACTTAATCTTCAATTTTTCCTGGGCCATATGCCTTTTAAGTTTGTGATACTTGGTAGCTACAAAAAGCTGCTGACAGTAGTTTTATCAATGGTAATAATGAGTAAAAAAAACTTATGGTTTTGAACAGTCTGTAAATCTTCTTGAGCCAAAGGGACTCTTATTATGCATGGATTACAGTCAGCTAGAAACCTTGAAGGCTATGGAAGTCTGTTATTCAAATACACAGTGACATGCACATTCTTAAGCAAGTCATGAGGTCCAGGACATACCATTCCAACTAATCTCTAAGAAGAAATATTTGAAATAAGGCAAGATCTTTCCCTTCGGGTGCTTCGCTCACCATTTACTCAATACCTCCAAGATTCTTTATAAACTCTAAAAGTTCCCAATGACTCAATTCTCCTTCATTTCTCTAAAGTGGGCCTTCTCACTCTTTCACCTCTGGTGGTGGCATTGTTTCTGTCCTCCTGGGCTCATGGTAAATATTTACATTGATAATTGACCACAGTGCTTTTTTCTACTGAACCTCATCACAGCCTCAGAATCTTTCTCAAACTTATACTACAAGATTACACTAGCATTTGATCATAATCAGCATGGCAACTGAAATGAAAATCCATCTTTTGCCTTAAATGAACTAACGTTGAGAACATCAGAGATCAGGGTGGGCGGTAGGGGGTTGGGGTGACAGAACGTTGCATGTTTAAAGCATGCAATGCAGTGATTGGTGCTTTGATTATCTCTTAAACAGGGTGGTTGGTAATAAAGTTCAGTGAAGTATGCGTTTCCCAAACATTCCAAGTCTTTTACAGAAAATGGGGCAGGGGAGGAAAAAGGAAGGAAGGAAGGAAGGGGAAGAGAAAGGGGAAGGGAAGGAAGGAGGGAGAGAGGGACAGAGGGAGAGAGACTTTCTGGTAAAGATTTTGCTTTGGCCCTATATATTAGTTTTCTATTGCTGCTGTAACAAATTACCAAAAATTTAATGACTTAAAACAACAAATCAGACTGGGCAGGGTGGCTCACACCTGTAATCCCAGCACTTTGGGAGGCTGAGGCAGGCAGATCACAAGGTCAGGAGTTCAAGACCAGCCTGGCCAATATGGTGAAACCCCATCTCTACTAAAAATACAAAAATTAGCTGGGCGTGGTGGTGGGCGCCTGTAGTCCCAGCTACTTGGGAGGCTGAGGCAGGAGAATCACTTGAACCCAGGAGGTGGAGGTTGCAGTGAGCCAAGATTGTGCCACTGCACTCCAGCCTGAGAAACAGAGGTAGACTCTGTCTCAAAAAAAAAAAAAAAAATTATTCTTTTATAGTTTTAGAGGTCAAGAACCTGAAATGGCTTTCATAAGACTAAAATCAAAATGTTGTCGGGGTTGTGTTCCTTATGGAGACTCTAGGGCACTGTCTATTTCCCTGCCTTTTCTAGCTTCTAGAGTCTGTCTGAATTCCTTGGCTTATAATCTTTTTCCTCCATCTTCAAAGCTGGCAGTGATGGACTGGGTTCTTCCCACATTCCATCATCTGACTCTCTTGCCTCCCTCTTTCACGTGTAAGGATCCTTGTGGTTACATTGGACTCATGAGGATAACCCAGGATAATCTCCTCATCTTAAAATCCTTAATCACATTTTCCAAGTCCCTTTTGCCTTGTAAGGTAACATATTCACAGATTTGGTAATTAGGACAAAGACATCTTTGGGGAGCTGCTACTCTGCCTACCATACTATATCTACACAGCAGCAACAAAAGAAATAAATCAGGGCGAGGAGACCTAATACTCATAGTGGATGAACTATGTTTCAAACCTCTCCTTAATTACTTTTGCTTCTAGTTATGTTTCTAAGAATATAGCTTATTATATTTGAGAACAGGGCTGAGGGTAAAGTATGCTGGGATTCATCCAAATTCCACCATCCGTTTACTAATCATGTGGCCCTAGGGGGCCCGGCAAGTGACTTAAGCTCTCTGTGCCTTCTCGGTGTTTTGCACCTGGAAAGGGGGGTGATAAAAATATGTTTTCTCTAGTACTTCTGAAGATTAAGTGCTTTATTCCATGCAAAGTGCTTAGTACCATCTTTGGTATACGATAAATGTTGCCTCCTATCTTTCCTGGAACTGTTTTTTGTATATAACATATTCCATAAAATGCTGTTAAATGAACATTGTAGGAAAGAAGTTGCCAGTGATATAACTTTTGGATGTAATCATTTCATGATGCAACTTCTTTTGATTCTTCATTGTATGGTGTAAAAAATACCTGAAAATGCTTAAGCTCTAGCACTTTAGCCATCACAATAAATTCTATACAGTGAAGAGAATTACATATTTAACTCTATTCTAGTCCTTACACATCTGATAGACTAAACAGGAGGTTACAGGTACTTTCAGATCAGTCCGACCATCTTAATAATGTTAAATTGTTGATGTTTCAGATGTGATAAAACATTGGTAACTGAGACGCAGCCTTCATATTATTAATTGAGATCCTATAAAGTGCTTTTCATTATATGTAGTATTTGCCAGTCAATATTCATTTAGCTAACCAAAGCTTTTACAGTTCATGTTTCAGTTTCTTTCAGTATGACATTTTTATATGACATCCAGTTCCAGGAGAAATTTTTTGTTTTGACACGTGCAATTAATATTTAAAAACTAGATGGAACAAAATTAATACCTCCATAGCAGCAAAGCAAAGTAAATCAAGAGAGGGAAAAAGGAAGGTATTGCTTGTCCCTAGACATATTAGAGAGACTAGCTCTAGTTTAGTGACTTTTAAAATTGAAATGTACTTCTAATTTTCTTAAGCTAAGTTTTAATGTATCCAATTGCATTAAGGCATTTTAGAACATATAACCAGGTCTAATTTTACTTCATGCTTTACTCTCAGGCCTTAAATGCCAGCCCAACGAACCAAAACAGGCATGATGTAGGAGAAGGTCAGTAAGGGCAGGGTATCAAACAATTATATTGAACTACTCAATGGGATAAAAATAATGGAATTTCTAGAGCAGACCTGGATTCAATCCAAATACATCAATGGTATACATCCTATTGTACTTCACTGTGCTTCATCTCTATCTTTCAGCAAATCAAACCTACATTGCTTTCAGATAATACAGGTTTAGTCCCCTGAATTTAACTGTTTTAAGGTTATTTTAGGGTTGTTAATTTTTGAAAATACTACCAGTAATCTGAATTAATTTTAATTCAAAAAAAATATAAAATTATCAAATAATATAATAATAATAAATATCTCAGTGACAAGAAGCCAGACTACATTGTGTCAAGGCTTTTACAAAGAGAAAAAGTAGCCACCATGTTTCATTCTGCAATTAATGTGTAGTGGAAAAAATTTTCCTAGTACTTTTTAGACTTAAAAATGAAACTTAGAAGCTCTTTGTCCAAATGATTTTACTGATAGTGTTGTACGAATATGAAAAAAGAAAATGTTTAAAATATTCTATTCAACACTTCTCCTGTACAAGATACAAAAACCCACCTTCTTATTTTGGGTTGGATATGCTATCTGGTAGGCTTTCCTAAGGATTTAAGTGATTATATTCATAACTTTAGACTGCCAGTTGTTGAAAATTTTCACCATTTAAAATAAAGATGTTAAATTCCAAACACTTGTCTGAATATGAATTCCCAGAAATCACATCTATCTAAATAGTTTTTAAATTGATTGCATTTGATCCTAGTGAATGTAATATTATAGGGCTAATGAAAATATGATTCAAATGGAAAAATCTAACATATATAAGCTATTTGAGAATACAAGTTAAATGAAGTAAGATGAACTAAGATTAATCATATTTATAGAAAGCTCACTAGTTACTGGAAATTAAAGGTGTTTTCTGAACTGGACAATGTGGCACACACCTGTAGTCCCAGCTACTGCGGGGGCTGAGGTGGATGGATCACTTGAGCTCAGGACATCAAGACCTCTGGGCAACAGAGAGAGAGAGAGAAAGAGAGAGAGACCCTGTCTCAAAAATGATAGTAATAAAATTTTAAAATAAAATAAAAATTAAATAAAAATGTTTTCTTTTGTTGGAAAGAACTAAAATCAAGTTAAAATTATTTGTTTAAATAAGCAATTATATGATATATAATTATATATTAATAGTATTTAATATGTTATTAAAATTATATACACATAGTTGTAGGGATTGACTAATTTAGAAAGTGCACAGCTAAGACAGGCCTACGGAAGCCATGTGCCACCTACTTAAAAATTATTAACTTATGGTTTTGTGCCAGTGGCCAGAGATGGTGCATACAGACCAAGAGAGCCATAACTCTTTCTTCCTATCAAGTAAAACAACAAACCTCACTGACAATGAAATTTCCAATCTGACTTCATAGCACAGCTTTCTAAGCAATTACTACTAATCTAATAGAATTGGTACATGAGATGAAAATTATTTCTCATCTCTGAAATCAATTATTCCAGAAATGGTTGAATTACCTAAACAACCACCATCCAACCAATTGTCTTTTCATGAATGATCAGGCATTCATCTTGGATTGCTGCCAATAAGTAGAATGTTATAGAGACAGAATGGCATATGAAAGAGATATCAAAAGAAGGAAATGAAAAGGAGATTAATTTAAAGTAGGGTTATTTGACAACCTTAGAGTATATATATGTATTTAAAATAACATAAACTAATTAAATCAATAAACATCATTGAGTAATATTATAAAACAGATACTATTCTAAATTTTAATGATACAGCAATAAAAATCTTTTAAAAAGACAGAAAGTCATGCCTGCACTAAACTTTTTACGCCAATTTGTGGGGGAAAAACTATAAACAAGTAAATAAATAGATAAAACCTCTTAGATTGCGATAAATACCTAAGCAAATAAGCAGAGAAGGAATATCCAGTGTCAGCTGTGAAACACTGGTAGTGCTTAGAAGTTGTCACTCTCATCTTTAAAATAAGATAAAATTTGACAAGCTGAAAATCAATCTTCTTTTTTACCCCTTCCCGGAACTGATGTTACAAGGCAAGTGGCCACCTTGAAATCTGGTTGGAAAGTCACATCCAGAGGGACAGAGCAGCTGAAAGGTGCTGATGTGGAGCAGAAGCCAATTAAGCCGTGAGCTGGTAAAAACACTTAAGTGGTAATTTTGATGAATGACTGGAGAATGAAGGTAAAATAGCAAGACAGTGAGAACCCTCCAGGGGCTGCAGTCTCATGAAGAATGCCACACTTTTGTGGGCTTTCCCCTGAGAACCCCACCAGATTTTCAAAATGAGAATCCAGGAAAGAACCCTTATAGCTCTGGCAAAGGAGAAGAAGAGTAACCATTGGGAAATGTGCCTAGAGTCTTCTCTATAATAAAGGCCTTGCATCCAGGGAAAGGACATTGCCAGAGCTCAACTCCAAAGCATTATCCCAGCAGAGAGAAGATAATTCATCCCAACTACAGCTCTCTCTTATCTTTCTGTGTAACCTATGGGGGATGATCACAGGGACCAGAGCTTCGAGGAAAAAGATGGTGAACACTGCAGCCAAGGAAGAGAATAGAGGGCAGGGGAAGGAAACTTTTACCAGTGGAGAAACACGTATGAAGGTTACAGCTCCAAAACACAGACTGCGATTTATTCTGAAGAGTATAGAAGATTCCCTTTTCCCCTACTTTAGGACCATGACAACAAGCTTCCAGCAAAACATCAGTGGGTTACAGCTGAAAGAGCTGCAAGACACAGACAGAATTTGAGGAGCGGAACAAAGGCAAACTCCAAGCAAAGATGGGAGCCAAAAATAAGGATGTTAAGGGAATTTGAAGGTTTTGGCACCTACAGCTACAGCACACATTAAACAGTCAAACTCTTAGCTAGATTACCATAAAATCTGTGTTAGTCCATTCTCACACTGCTATAAAGAACTACCTGAGACTGGGTAATTTATGAAGAAAAGAGGTTTAATTGACTCACAGTTCCACAGACTTAACAGGAAGCAAGTTCCACAGGCTTAACAGGTTAAATTGACTCATAGTTTAAAGTCATGCTTTAAATTGTGAGTCAATTAAAGACTCACAGGCCTTGTGAGGCCACATAAGACCTGAGAAAACTTACAATCATGGCAGAAAGCAATGGGGGAAGCAAGCACCCTCTTCACAAGGCGGCAGGAGAGAAAGACAGCAAAGGCGGAGGTGCTACACACTTTTAAACAGCCAGCTCTCCTGAGAACTCACTCACTACCACAAGAACAGCAAGGGGGACATCTGCTCTCGTGATCCAATCACCTCCCACCAGGTCCCTCCCTCAACACTGGAGATTACAGCGGCAAAGCATATCAAAACTACACACAAAAGGCTTACTTACTTCAGTTCTTATTACACAATTCAACATTCCAACTTTAAAAAAAAATTACAAGCCATGCTAATTCAGCACAGAGAAAACTGTGTCCCCAAATATGGCACTTTCTTTAACATGCTGAGCTAAAGAAGCAACCTCAAGGTCTCTCTAACCTCACCCCTACTCCTGTGTCTCAACGCTTTTGTCTCTCCCATAGCACAAGATAAGGCTGTTAACTAAGGCTTCCTTATCTACCTAAGTAACAGACCCCTAAAGAACACAATTGCCTTCCATGCCTTCCCTGAAATCTCATTATCTATCTCAGAAAATAAGACTGAGGAATGCAACCATACCTGGACAGCCTTTTTCAAGCAATGTTTGCCTCTCAGCTCATTCAAAGTCCAAAAAGAATCAGTTACAAGTTAATTTCTGTCTACTCTGTCTACTGGGTTCCTATTACAATAAGAAAACTGGGTTCCTGGTTTCCTATTACAGTAAGAAAACCCATACCCTTGCTCAGCTCCCTAACAATAGGTGCTGTCAACTGGTTTAAACCCAGACCACTACAACACTGATTGGACAAAGGACTGACCTTACCTTCTTTCCTGATAAGCTATTACAGTTCTTAAATCAGTTTCAGCCAGCTTATGGAGGCTGCATATACAATTATTAACTATTCCTCAAAAGAATTGCTTACATTCACCATCTCCTTCTTCTTCTAAGAAGGTAATATAAGCTTCTGTACTACATCAGGTTAGTGGGTGATCATTCCCCTGCAATTCCCCCAGGCTATGAGTGTTAAAATAAATTTTGTATGGCTTTTGTTCCTGCCTTTTGTTAGTTGATTTTCAGTGAACTTCAGAAGGTAAAGGAGGAAGCTTTCCCTCTTGGTCCCTACAGTTTTGGTCCTGCAAGCAGGGTAACCAAACAGCTCTGCTCTTCTAGAAGCCACAGTCTAGAGAAACTGGGACCTGACAGGTTGGCCAAAAAAACAAAAAAAAGTAAAATTTTCTTACCAGTCAGATTTCTGCATGTATTTTTGTGGAATCCAGTGAAGCAGACAGTAAAAATTACTGATTTTCTCTTTTTCCTTTCCAAATTTAAGACTCATAGTAGAAAAGAATTTCTGTGACTAGTCTTAGGTGTAAAAACTCTGGTGTCTTTTTGGTATAAATATTCACACTGTCTGATCCCTTTTCTCCCAGAAATACCTTTGTTTTGTGATCTGAGAGACCAAAATAGATACCCCTTTATCAAGTAAGATGGGCCCTAAATTTAAGGGAAAAAAAAGCCATCTACAGGTCGAGGGTTCAGGGACTGGCTGGCATGGCAAATTCTAAATTCCTATTACAATAAGAAAACCCACACCCTTGCTCAGCTCCCTAACAATAGGAGCTATCAACTGGTTAAAACCCAGACCACTACAACTCTGACTGGACAAAGGACTGACCTTACATTCTTTCCTGATAAGCTATCACAGTCCTTAAACCAGTTTCAGCCAGCTTATAGAGGCTGCATATACAAACTGTCTTTGTGTCCTACAGTTTGCCTTTTTTTTTTCATTTTTCTTTTTTTTTTGTGATGGAGTTTTGCTCTGTCACCCAGGCTGAAATACAGTGGCGTGATCTCGGCTAACTGCAACCTCCGCCTCCCAGGTTCAAGCAATTCTCTTGCCTCAGCCTCCGGAGTAGCTGGGATTATAGGCGTGTGACACCACGCCCAGTTAATTTTTTGTATTTTTAGTAGAGACGGGGTTTCACTGTGTTAGCCAGGATGGTCTCGATCTCCTGACCTCGTGACCTGCCCGCCTAGGGCTCCCAAAGTGCTGGGATTACAGGCATGAGCCACCAAGCCCGGCCTACAGTTTGCCTTCTAATGTAAGGAGCCAAATTCCACCTCATGTTAATGCTAAAACACTGCCCAAATAAACATGGTGTGTATGTTACACACGTGTTTACCCATTGCACATGCATTCAGCTCCCCTCATATACAAAAAACATGTATAACTTTCCCCCCCAAACCTGCTAAATAAGTATGATACAGGCCCTGAATGGCATAAAACCCAACCTGCTCTTCCCCTCTTCGAGAAGAGAGCGCCTTCAAGTTCATGCTGGAGATTTCCTCTTCCTGGCTTGCAAACCGATATTGCCAGTAATAGACATCTTATAGCACTCTTTTCTATTTAGCTACTCTAGTGGTCTTTTGGAGGACAGATTTTCCTTTGTCTTTGTCTTCTTTTGTCATTTCATCATAAAGAGGATTACCATAGAATAAAATACAGGCCTAAAATCCCTGCCAGTCTGTTGTTTGAGCCAGCCTCTATAGACTGTGAGCTTTACAGTTCTTATCAGATCAGCACTTGTTTAAGACAAACTGTGCTGTGGGTCACTGAAATAAAAACTGGATGAGGTTCTCCTCTTGTCTTGTTTTATGTTCTTGAGGGCTTGACTTGTGACCAAGTGGGAGCACTCTGTCCGTCTCCACCTTAAAATAGAGCTTTTTTAAATAAAAACCTCGGTTAACAAGGTCCCCAAAATATCTTGAGGTCCTTGGGCCACTCAAAAAGTGACAATTTTTGCTTAAATTTTTGCTTAAAATCATGGGGCATGATTTTTGGGTCTCATCCGATGGCCAGTGTGAAAGGACTAAAAACCTCAAGATATGTGCAATTTTAAACAACACTCTCTTTGTTTCCTATATGCCAAGCTCTCAGGGGAGTTTACGTCAATAAAAAGTACCATCCATAAAGGCCTTTTGCTGTCTCAACTCTCATTGCCCGATTAGTACTGGGAAAGTCCAGTTCCAGGAGGACCTGCCCATATCACAGATTAACAGGTCTGTAACTGGCAACCCCCCACAAATTTGTGAGATACTGGAGACACTGTTCCGAAAACACTGTTCTCAACCATCTGTGACTGTAACCATCTTTTTGCTCTCTTAGTCTATTTATAGGCATTAATTTTGGGTGATCATGGGCATTGTCTCTTTGACACCCTTTCCAGGAACTCCTTTTGCTTATATGGTAAAACTTATTCTAAGCCTAACAATTACCTCCTGGTCTTTCCATAAAGAGCCTTATTAGATTGAATCACTATTAAAATAAGTACATCATTAGATATTCATTAGTCATTAGTGGCCAGACAATGGATCTTTAAGTTAAAAAGACTCCTATGTGGGAAAAATATATATATTACAGATGTCTCTTTCTAAACAATTACCTTATTTTTATTTATGGAAAGAAAGATCAAATTAGATAAAAGATACAAAACTAAAGAGCATAAATCTGACCCAGAACAAAAGTTAAAATCCTTTGAAAGCTCAAACTTCCTGTTTTGGATTTTCTGTGGGATTTGCAAGAAAGGCACTGCACTCTGTAGCCTCATGGCTAGGATTGGGCACTTTCACCACTGCAACCCAGGTTTGATTCCAGGTCATGAAATCAGTTCCTTGGAAATGTAAATCCTTTGACTCAGGAAAAGAAAAACATTCATACAAATTAGTTTACATTGTTTTCAATTTATATTTGCATGACTCTTGACCTTTGGGGATATCCATTTGTTTATAATCCTTTCTTCTCCCATAGACAGGTTTTTAATTTCCTGTTGTCAAACTATTTGTCTCCTTTAATTTTCTGTCCATGCAGCACATGGGTTGTCAGGCCTTTGTGTACAGATGGTCAGCTGAGACACTGGGGTCCTGGAAAATGAGACCACACAGAGATGTGGGTTGTATCCCATTTGTTGCTAGCAAAATTTTTCTTCCTTTATACTACCATTGGGAGTTATCTGAATTTTGGAATGGTTACAGCTTTTGCTCCTTCTTTGGAAAACTTGGCTAAGGCCATAAAGGGCTTCTTGATTTTAGTCTCATGTGTGCTTATTTGTTTTGATTTTGATCATTTGTCTAGGTATATCTGGTTTAAAATCGGTTTGTATTCAGGCTGTGATACAAGTGGTTCTTTAGGTTTTTTGGTGTTTTGGTTTCATTTGTCTTTCCCTCTCTATTGAGCTGGAGAGACACACCCTGCAGCACCACTGACAGACAAAGTAGTGAGCAAGTGCGGTAGACCCCACTTCAGGCAGTGCAGGGAAACACACTGCTCCTGCCGCTGCCACCACGTCCTCTTGGGTCCAGCAAAAGGCTGGTGGGTTGTGTGACAGAAAGTTTGCTGCTTGTATATTTAATTATTTATTTATTTATTTTTAATAGAGCTCTAAGGTCAAAAGCTTAATTAAAAGCTTATATTTTTCTCTGTTCTCTTTTAAATCCTTTCTCCCCAGGAAACTTCTTAGAAGATTAGAACCCTTTCTCTTAAACCCTTGCTAACTAGAACTACATTAGCCTTTTGAAATGTTTAAAACTCCCCAAATTGACTTCTAAGACTTGTTCTTCCACTTGCTCTGCCCGTTTCTTTTTGCCACTTTTGATACCACATGAAGGGATCTAGAGGGGACTTCTAGCAACTCTGAGACTCCTTGAAAAACACAAAAATATGCCACTGACCTCCTTATATTGGGACCCCCTGTCTTCTTCATGGAACCCCAGGAGCAGTACTAAGGTTCCTCTTAGCTCTGGTTTATGTTATCCATCATCATTATGATTATTATGCTAAATTGTTGAAGGCCACAGAAAATAACCAAATTTCTTTGTCAATTGCATCTTTAACCATGGCCATTTTAAGCTGTGTTGCCCCCAATCAAATGCATTATTCTGATGCCTTTTTTTTTCTGAAAGCTCTTTGCAAATCCTAAAATGTTGTGTCTTCAAGGAGTTCAGCGAAGGGATTAAAAAAAATGACAAATACAGGTTTCTGACAAATTTGAAACCATACAATTGAACTGGCTAAAAATTCTAAAACTCTTTTTAAAAATCCCCTTGGATTGTCTATAGCTTTACAGCAATTTGGTAAATTATAATTTTTTGAGCAGAACTGAAACATTTACCTTTTTCTCTCCTGATTTCTCCAGAATTCAGAAACTGTTCATGCATCTTTTTGTTTGATGGCAATATAGTATTTTTACATAAGTTCAGTGAGAATCTGCTCTCTTTTGTAATAGGACGCAATTGCAGACACTGTTTATTTCACCAAGGTTATGACTGGAATCATATTTTTAGATATGACCAAACTAGTTTGAGGGATTGAGGTTGTCTTTAATGGGGACAATAAAAATCCCCTTGGAAAAACTGATCTAGCACCTTGTCTACATGGTTCCTTTACAGGGTTCCTGCCCTTGCAGTAAGCAAAAATTGCCACTTTTTGAGCGGCCCAAGGACCTCAAGATATTTTGGGGACCTTGTTAGCAGAGGTTTTTATTTAATTTGTATAAGTTTTACAGACACGATCTGAGAGCGAGGTTAATCCTAGGCAGGCTTCCTAGTCTTAAGAGGCTTTTAATTTCTTATACAAAGTTCCAAAATTGCCACTTATGAAGAGGCTATAGGATAAATCATTATTCTTACTGCACTTTATGTAAATAATCAGGCTTATTTATTTATTATTATTTATGTAAATAATCAGAGTTAATGAAACTGAACTTATTTATGAACAAATTAGTCTTGCTGAAAACATCTTTGGTAGAAATGAAAGACTGGAGAGAGAAAAATTATGTTTCAGAAGACCTATAGTATACATGTTACTCGGTTCTAGTACCATCTATTTTTTAATTAGTTTTTTTAATTATCTGGACTGAATCCCAAATTTTTAGTTTCTTCCCATATCTATCTTAGATTCACCAGACTAACATTTCTAATTTTCGTTCACCCTTTCTCACTTGGAATTACTAAAAATTAAAACTGCCTTTTTTTCTGAGGCCCTAAAAACTGAAGCTAGTCACTCAGGCTTTAAAGAGAAATCAACACAGAGCTTATATTTGAACAAATTTTGTACATGGAGAGAATAAACCAAAAACTCTGTTAGATTGCCATTAATCTTTTCAACTAACTGCCCTCCAAATGCTAAAGAAACTACTCTATAGATTACTCCAGGCATTAACCTTTTCTTCTGTTCCTATGGAAATGCCATTTATTAAAAATCTGTTTGCCTACCTCATATAGAGGCCTAGCTGTGAGAGCCCATCTGCAATGCCATCTCCTTAAATGAGACACAACTATTTAACTGAACTTACTTATTCACAGAAAGGGGAAACTAGTTTAATGGTATCCTTAGCCACTCAGTTGCTAATTTGGTATTTTTCTCTCCAAAGACACCAACTCAGCTTTATGTGTGTGAAACTTCTAGGAAAGCTTCAGACAGGGAAACGTTGGGGCACAGAAAACAATGCCCCAAAATATGACACTCTGACATGTTGTGCTGAAGAAACAGCCTTAAGCTCTCTCTGACCTTCCCCTGACTCAAATCTCAACCCTTCTGTCTCTCCCAAAGCAGAGGATGAGGCTGTTCTCTAAAGTTTCCTTATTTACCTAAAAACTGGACTCCCAAAGAGGAGCACAACTATCTTCCATTCCCTCCTTGAAACCTCATTATTTACTCCAGAAAACAAGACTGAGAAATGTAGCTACATTTGGATGGATTTTTCAAAAACTAAGGTCTGCCTCTCAGCTTATTTAAATTCCAAAGAGAATAATTTTAAAGTTTACTTCTGTCACCTGGGTCCACTCATTGTTCTTAATAATCATTTACTATCCCTCAAAAAATTGTTGAAATTTTTCAACTCCTCCCTCCCCTATGAAGAAAGGAATATAAGATTCTGTATCCCACTGGATTATTTAATTATTCTCCTGTGATTTCCCCATGCTATGTATATTAAAATATATTTTGTATGGCTTTTGTTCCTATTAATCTGCTTTTTGTCAGCTGATTTTCAGTAAACTTCAGAAAGTAAAGAGGGAATGGCAGACACAAAACCACGGATCCAGGAAGCTTAGAGAGCACCAAGTAGAGTAAATACAAAAAGAAAAAAAAATACCTAGATATAATAAATTATATATTCAATCTCCAGAAAACCCAAAAGAAAGAAAACCTTGAAGGAAGCTGAGGGTCAGGAGATAAAGGTAGAATACCTTGCCTGTGGAAGAACAAAGATAAGAATTAAACAATTTCTGATCAGAAACCATGCACACAAGGCAGAAAAGTCAAATATTTAAAATGTTGAAAAAAAGAAAACCTACAATTTTCAGCAAAATTATCTTTCCAAATAGAGAAATAAGGACATCCTCAAACAAACTGGAAAAATTATGTTACCAGATGACCAACCTTATAAGAAAAGTTAAAAGAAGTTCTTCATGCTGAAGGAAAGCTAAATAGGCTAAAAACATGGATCTACATTTAAAGAAAGAAAGAAAAGTGTCAGAGAAAAAATGTATTAAGATAAAACAGGATTGTGTTTTTCTTATTTTTAACTGTATTTTGGTGCTACTGTAAGACAACTGTATGTTTAAAGTAATCATGATAACAATGTATTAGGTAATTATAGGTATGAATAAGTGAAATGTAAAACAGCATTGTCACAGGAATTAATTGAGAATGCTCTGCTGTAAGTTACCTGCACTACTTATAAATGAGTATAGTGTTATGTGAAGGTTAAGTTAGACTAATTAAAATGTATATTGTAAACTCTAGAGCAATAACTAAAATCTTTGTTAAACAAGAATAATTGATACACTCTGAAGGAGATAAAATAGAATCATGTAAAATCCTTAATATCAGAGAAGCCATAAAAAAGGGGTAGGATAAGCAACAATTAGTATGATTAAATATAAGTTATAATTATAATACATATTAATTACTTATTACATATTAATACATATTAATCACTGTATAATCTAAAAGTACTAATTAAAAGATAGAAGTTGAATGAGTAGATGAAAAATAATCTAGAGGCAACTTTATCTCATGTAAAATAAACTCACTTCAAATATAAAGACTCAACACTGTTAAAAATTAAAAGAGGCTGGCACAGTGGCTAACGCCTGTAATCCTAGCACTTTGGGAGGCCAAGGCAGGCAGATCACAAGGTCAGGAGATCGATACCATCCTGGCCAACATGGTGAAACCCCGTCTCTACTAAAAATACAAAAATTAGCTGGGCGTGGTGGCACGCGCCTGTAGTCCCAGCCACTTGGGAGGCTGAGGCAAAAGAATTGCTTGAACGTGGAAGGCTGAGCTTGCAGTGAGCTGAGATCCAGCCACTGCACTCCAGCCTGGCAAAAGAGCGAGACTCTGTCTCAAAAACAACAACAAAAAAAAATTAAAAGAGTCCACACCAGTATAACCCAGGAAAGCTAAACTAAAGAATGCTGGAGTAGCTATATATTAATTTCAGACAGGCCAGGCATGGCAGTTCATGCATAGAATCCCAGCATTTTGGAAGGCAAAGTGGGAAGGGTTGCTTAAGACCAGGAGTTTGAGACCAGCCTGGGCAACACAGTGAGACTCTGTCTCTATTTAAAAAAAAAAAAATGTGACAAAAAACTTCAGACACAGCAGAATTCAGAGCAAGAAAGATTACCAAAGAGAAAAAATAAGTATGTCATAATGATAAAGAGGTCATCTTCAAAAAAGATTTAAGGATCTTATATATGTATGCATATAACATTGTCAAAATGCATGAAGCAAAAACCAATAGAACTAAAAGGATAAATAGACAAATCCAACATTAGAGTTACAGATTTAAACCCTCTCTATCGGTAACTTACATGTCAAGTAGGCAGAATATTAGTAGGGATATGATATCCAGAACAGAATTAACAATCAACTTGATCTAATTGACATTTATAGGTTGTTTTTACCAAACATAAGCAGCATACACATTCTTTTCAAGTTCTCATAGAACGCCCACCAAGATAATCTACATTCTCAGCCATGAAACATACTTAGGCACATTTAAAATAACAGAAATTATTATCTAATAACCTTCAAAAAGCCTATAATTAATAACTTTCCAAAACAGAAATAGATAATAATCTTCAAAAAAGGCTAAGATGGTTTTACTAGTGAATTATATCAAATATTTAAGGAAGAAATAATACTCATTCTTGCTTTTTTTGTTTGTTTGTTTTTTTACTTGAGACGAGTCTCGCTCTGTCGCCCAAGCTGGAGTGCAGTGGCCCAATCTTGGCTCACTGAAAGCTCCGCCTCCTGGGTTCACGCCATTCTCCTGCCTCAGCCTCCGGAGTAGCTGGGACTACGGGAGCCCGCCACCACCCGGCTAATTTTTTGTATTTTTAGTAGAGACGGGGTTTCACCATGTTAGCCAGGATGGTCTCCATCTCCTGACCTCATGATCCGCCCGCCTCGGCCTCCCAAAGTGCTGGGATTACAGGTGTGAGCCACCATGTCCGGCCCTATAATACTAATTCTTGACAATTTTTCCAGAAAATAGAAGCAGAGGAAACACTTCCTAACTCATTTGTAAAGTCAGCATTACCCTACTATCAAACCAGGCTATGACATTATAAGACAAGCAAACCAAAACCAGTATTTTTCATGAACATACATGCAAAAAGCCTCAACAAAATATAAGAAAATAGAATCCAAGATTGTATAAAAAGAATTTCATACTATAACCAAGTGAGATTATTCCAGTTAAGCAAGACTGGTTTAACATTCAAAATCAGTACAATTGCTATGGTTTGGGTGTTTGTCTCCTTCAGATTTCATGTTCAAATATAATCCCCAATGATTAGAGGTGGGGCCTGGTAAAAGGTGTTTGGGCCATAGAGGTGGATCCTTCATGAATAGCTTTGTGCCATTCTTATGGCAATAAGTAAGTTCAGGAGAGATCTGGCTGTATGAAAGAGCCTGGGATCTTCCTTGTCTCTCTCACTCCTCTCACATGTGACTCACTGGCTCCCCTTGACCTTCTGACATGATTGTAAGCCTCTGAGGCCCTCAACAGAAGCAGATGCTTGCACCATGCTTACTGCAGAGTCTGTAGAACTGTGAGTCAAAAGAAATCTCTTTTCTTTATGAATTAACCAGCCTCAGGTACTCCTTTATAACAATACAAATGGGCTGATATGCAATCTACTATATCAACAGGTTACAAAAGAAAAATTATATAATCATATCAGTAGATACAGAAAAAAAGCATTTGACAAAATCCAACATCCACTGATGATAAAAAATCTCAGAAAAATTGATATAGAGTAACTTCCGCAACTTGATTAAAAAAAAATACCTACAGAAAACCTACGGCTGACATTATAACCAATGATGAGATTCAGAAAACTGTCCCCTTAGGATCAGGAACATGGATGACCTCTTTTACCATTCCTATTTAACAATGTAACAGAAATCTTAGCTAATGCAATGAGATAAGAAACAGAAATAAAAGATATACAGGTAGGAAGAAATAAAACTATCATTTTTTTGCATATGGTATGATTTTCAACGTGGAAAAACCCAAAGAATGTACAAATTAATACCTGGACCTAATGCATACATCGAGGTTGTAGGATACAAGGTCAAATTAAAAAGTCAATTGCTTTATTATACATCAGCAATGAGCAATTGGAATTTGCATGGAAAAAAAAGTAAATAACATCCCAAATTTCCAGGTCCATTTGTTGAGAAACTGTTCATTGAATTTGTATTGCCGTTGTCAAGATTCTTGTCTACATATGTGTGTGTTAGTCTATCTCTGAGCTCTTCATTATGTTCTATTAATCCATGTCTATTCTTTCATTAATACAATACCATCTTGATTACTGTTCTTTATAATAAGTTTTCCAATCAGTACTGAACGCCAGCGGTCCTCAACCTTTTTGGCACCAGGGACCAGTTTCGTGAAAGACAATTTTTCAATGGACCGGGGATGGGGTGTGGGTGGGAGTAGAGATGGGGTGGTAGGAGTTTGGTTTTGGGATGACACTGTTCCATCTCAGATCATCAGTCATACTCATAAGGAGTATGCAACCTAAATCCCTTGAATGCACAGTTCACAATAGGGTTCATGCTCCTATGAGAATCGAATGTGGCTGCCAATCTGACAAGAGGGGGAGCTGAATTGGTAGTTGCTCGCTCACCTGCCACTTACCTCCTGCTATGCTGCCCAGTTCCTAACAGGCCACAGACTGTTAATGGTCAGCCACTTGGGTGTTGGGGACCCCTGATGTAAGCCCTCTAACTTTGCTCTTCTTCAGTACCATATTAGCTATGCTACAAAGTTTTGACTTTTCCTATACATTTAAGAATTGGTTTGTTGTTATTTACATAATATCTTGCTGGGAATTTGACTGGGATTATACTGTGTGTCTGTATCAACTTGGGAGGCGTAGCTCTTTTAACAATTTAGAATCTACTAGCCAATGAAGATGGAAAAAATATCTCCATTTATTAGTTCTTCCTTGATTTCATTAATTGGCATTGTGTAGTTTTCCACACACAAACCTTATACATATGTTGTTGATTTATACCTATGAATTACATTTTTGGTGCTATTGTAAATTAATTTTTTCTAAAGGTGCTGCACCATTTAAAATTTCTACCAACAATATATGAGAATGCCAGTTTCTCCAATCTTCACCATAACTTGTTCTGTCTATCTTTTTCATTATAGCTTTCTTAAAGTGTGTGAAGTCGTACCTTACTGAGGTTTAGGTATGCATTTCCCTATGGCCTAATTGTGTTGAGCATCTTTTCATATGCAGATCGACCATTTGTGTATCTTTTTTGGAGTAATAGCCTACTCAAACCCTTTGATTATTTTTAATTGTTATTTTTACTTTTTATTACAGAGTCATAAGGTCTCCTTACATATTGGGTGCAAATTCTACTATGATTTGAATGTTGCCTCCAAGAGTCATGTTGAAAATTAATCTGAAATATGGCAGTATTGAAAAGTAAGGCCTTTAAGAGGTGATTGGATTCACAGATTGATGGACTAAAGGGACTGAGACAGAAAATTGAGACCTGGAAGTGGGGTGTTGCTGATAGTAAATACCTAAAAACATAGAAGAGGCTTTAGAACTGGGTAATGGGCAGAAGCTAAAAGAACTTAGAGAAGCAGGCTAGAAAAAAATCGAGATTCTGGTGCAGACTTAGAATACAAGAAGACTGGGGAAAGTTGGGAACTCTGTAGAGATTGCTTAAGTGGTTATGACCAGCATACTGATAGAAAATATGGACAGGAAAGGCCATTCAGACAAGGTTTTAGATGGAACTGAGAAACAAAATATTAGAAACTGGAGTAAAGACTATCCCTGATATACATGGATAAAGAACTTGGCTGCATTGTATCCAAGTCCAAGGGCTTTGTGAAAGGCCAAACTTGAGAGGGATGAACTAGGATATCTGGTGGAAGAAATTTCTAAGCCACCAAGTTCTCAGGCTGCTGAGTGGTTACTTCTAACTGCTTACAGTGAACCTCTAGAGACAGGAGAAACAGAGGGGGAAAGTCTGTATTTTCCATATAATATTCAGTCTTGCCATGAGGTGGGGAATAAAAGAGCATTTTCAGGAGAGAAATCCAAGAGTGAGGCCCAGCTAGTACTTTCTAAAGAGATTAGCATGGCTAAAAGAGAACCAGGTGCTAAAAGTCAAGACCATGGGGAAAAGGCCCCTGAAGGCATTTCAGAAATCTTTGAGGCTGACCCTCCCCTCACAGACCCAGAGACCTAGGAGGACAGAAGGGTTTTAGGGGACAGGCCCAGGCATGGCTGCCATGTGCCACCTCTGAGCAGTTCTTGCTTCTCCCCACATCACTGTCACTCTGGCTCAAGCAGCCTTAAGTGCAGCTTGTGCCAAAAACTCAGAAGGTACATGTTCTAAAACTTGGTGGCATCCACGTGGTGCTAATTTTGCAGACTTACAGAAAGTGAGAGCTGTGGAGACTTGGCAGATTCTACCTAGATTTCAAAAAATGTCATCAAAAGCCTGAGGGTTCAAGCAGAGACTGGTCACAGGGGCTGACGCCCCCACTAGAGTTATGCTGAGTGGGTATGTGGGGATGGAACTACTGCAGAGAGTCCCCACTAGGGCAATGCCTAGAAAGTCATGGGAGTGAGACTGTCACTAAGACCCCAGAACTGTGGAGCTATCAGTGTGCAACACAAGCATGGTAGAGCTAGGTGGGCTGAGCCAAGAAACCCATTGGGTTGGGGTTGTTTAAGGCCTTGGGGGCTCAACCACCACACCAGTATGCTGAGGATGCCAGACATGAGGTAAAAAGAGATGATTCTGGGGTCTTCAGACCTACTGTCTGTGTCTCTTAGGTTTTAGACTTGCCTAGGGCATGTTACCCCTTTCTTCTTGGCTGTTTTTCCCTTTTGAAATGGGAATGTGTTCCCTATGACTATGCCACATTTGATCCTCAAAGCAGATATCTTGTTCTTATTTCACACGTTTGCAGATGAAACTTTGGACTTTGGATGTGTCAGTTGGTGCTGAAATGAGACAACAGTTTGGAACTATAGAGATACAATGAATGTAATTGTATTTGAGAAGGACATACGTTTGGAAGGAGCAGGAGAAGAATACCGTGGTTTCAGTGTCCCCTCTAAAACTCATGTGAAACTTACTTTTACTTTTATTTTAGGTTCAGGGGTAGGTGTGTAGGTTTGTTATACAGGTAAACTTGTGTCACAGGGGTTTATTGTACAGATTATTTTGTCACCAAGGTATGAAGCCTAGTACCCAATAGTTATTTTTTCTGATTCTGTCCCTCCTCTCACCCTTCACACACAAGTAGGCCCCAGTGTCTATTGTTCCCCTTTTTGTTTCCATGTGTTCTCATCATTTAGTTCCCCCTTATAAGTGAGAACATACAGTATTTGGTTTTCTGTTCCTGCATGAGTTTGCTAAGGACAATGGCCTCCAGCTCCATCAACGTTCCCACAAAGAATGTGATCTCCTTCTTTATTATGGCTGCATAGTATTCCATGGTATGCATGTACCACATTTTCTTCATCCAGTTTTCCACTGATGGGCATTTAGCCTGTCCCATGTTTTTGCAATTATGAATAGTGCTGCAATGAACACATATGTGCATGTGTCTTTGTTGCAATTGCTTTTGGAGTCTTCCTCATGAAATATTTGCCAGTTCCTATGTCCAGAAAGTTACTGCCTAGGTTTTCTTCTGGGGTATTTATAGTTTTGGGTTTTACATTTAAGTCTTTGATCCATCTTGAGTTGATTTTTGTGTATGGTGTAAGGAAGGGTCCAGTTTACATCTTCTGCATATGTCTAGTCAGTTATCACAGCACCAATTATTTCATAGGGAGTCCTTTTCATTGCTTGTTTTTATCAGCTTTGTCAAAGATCAGATTGTTTTAGGTGTGCGGCTTATTTCTGGGCTCTCTATTCTGTTCCATTGATCTATGTATCTGTTTTTGTACCAGTACCATGCTGTTTTGGTTACCATAGCCTTGCAGTAGAGTTTGAAGTGGTAATGTGATGCCTCTAGCTTTGTTCTTTTTGCTTAGGATTGTCTTGGCTGTTTGGGTTTTTGGTTCCATACGAATTCTAAAATAGTTTTTTCTAGTTCTGTGAAGAATGTCATTGGTAGTTTGATAGGAATAGCATTGAATCTGAAATTGCTTTGGGCAGCATGGCCATTTTAACAATATTGGTTATTTATATCCATGAGTATGGAATGTTTTTCCATTTGTTCATGTCATCTCCGATTTCCCTGAACAGCCTTCTGTACTTTTCATTGTAGAGATCTTTCACCTCCCTGGCTAGCTGTATTCCGAAGTATTTTATTCCTTTTATGCTAATTGTGAATGGGATTGAGTTCCTGATTTGGCTCTCGACTTGGCTGTTGTTAGTATATAGAAATATTAGTGATATATGTCCATTAATTTTGTATCCTGAAACTTTGCTGAAGTTGTTTAGCAGGATCTTTTGGGCCGAGACTATGGGTTTTTTAAATACAGAAGCATGTCATCTGCAAACAGGGATATTTTGACTTCCTCTCTTCCTACTTGGATGCCCCTTATTTTCCTCTCTTTCCTGATTGTTCTGTTGAGAACTTCCAATACTATGTTGAATAGGAGTGGTGACAGAGGGAATCCTTGTCTTGTGCTGATTTCCAAGGGGAATGCTTCCAGCTTTTGTCCATTCAGCATGATGTTGGTGGTGGGTTTGTTATAGATGGTGCTTATTATTTTGAGGTATGTTCCTTTAATGTCTAGGTTATAGTGAATTTTTAACATAAAGCGACGTGTAATTTTATCAAAAACCTTTTCTGTATCTATTGAGATAATCGTGGTTTTTGTCTTTCGTTCTGTTTATGTGATGAATCACATTTATTAATTTGCATATGTTGAACCAAACTTGCAAACCAGGATTTAAAGCCTACTTGATCATGGTAGATTAGCTTTTTAATGTGCTGCTAGATTCAGTTTGCTAGTATTTTGTTGAAGATTTTTTGTATCAATGCTCATCAAGGATGTTGGCCTGAAGTTCTCCTTTTTTTTTTTTTTTCTTTTTTTTTGTACCTCTACCAGGTATTGGTATCAGGATGATGCTGGCCTCATAGAATGAGCTGGGGAGGAGTCCTTCCTCCTAAATTTTTTTGGAAATAGTTTCAGTAGACACAGTACCAGCTTTTCTTTGTAGATCTTCTGACAGAATTTGGCTGTGAATCTAACTGGTCCTGGGCTTTTTTTTGGTTGATGGACTATTTATTACTGATTCATTTTCATACCTCGTAATTGGTCATTCTGTCGAGTTTAATTTCTTCCTGGTTCGGTCTTGGAAGGGCATATATGCTTAAGAACTTGTCCATTTGTTCTATATTTTCTACTTTTTGTGCATAGAGGTGTTCATAGTAGTCTCAGACGGTTATTTGTATTTCTGTGGGGTCAGTGGTAACATTCCGTCATTTCTACTTGAGTTTACTTAGGACTTCTCTGTTTTCTTCTTTATTAATTAATCTAGCCAGCAGTCTATCTGTACAACTAATTTTTTCAGAAAAACAAACTCCTGAATTCATTGATCTGTGTAATGGTTTTTCATGTCTCAATCTAATTCAGTTCAGCTCTGATTTTGGTTATTTCTCATCTTCTGCTAACCTTGGGGATGGTTTGCTCCTGCTTCTCTAGTTCTTTTTGTTATGACATTTGGTTGTTAATTTGAGATCTTTCTAACTTTTTGATGTGGACATTCAGTGCTATAAACTTCCCTCTTAACACTGCCTTAGCTGTGTCCCAGAGATTCTGGTATGTTGTATCTTTGTTCTCATTAGTTTCAAAGAATTTCTTGATTGCTGCCTTAATTTCATTATTACCCAAAAAATTCAAAATGAAGTTAATTTCCGTTTAATTGTATGGTTTTGAGCAATTTTCTTAGTCTTGATTTCTATTTTTACTACATTGTAGTCCATGAGAATGGTTGGTATGACTTTGGTTCTTTTGCATTTGCTAAGGATTGTTTCATGAGGATTGTGTGGTCTATCTTAGAGTATGTGCCATGTGGCAATGCAAAGAATGTATATTCTGTTGTTTGGGGATGGAGAGTTCTGTAGATGTCTATCAGGTCCATTTAGTCCAGTGCTGAGTTCAGATTCTGAATATCTTTGTTAATTTTCTGCCTCGTTGATCTGTCTAATACTTTCAGTGGAATGTGAAGTCTACCATTATTATTGTGTGAGAATCTAAGTCTCTTTGATGGTCTCTAACAACTTGCTTTATGAAGCTAGGTGGTCCTGTGTTGGGTGCATGTATATTTAGAATATTTAGGTCTTCTTGTTAAATTGCGCCCTTTACCATTATGTAATGCCCTTCTTTGTCTTTTTTGATCTTTGTTGGTTTAATGTTTGTTTTGTCAGAAACCAGAAACTCCTGTCTTTTTCTGTTTTCCACTTGCTTGGTAGATTTTTCTTCATCGTTTTATTTTGAGCCTTTTGGTGTCATTGCATGTGAGATGGGTCTCTTGAAGACATTATACCATTGGGTCTTCCTTCTTTATCCAGCTTACCACTCTGTACCTTTTAATTGAGGTATTTAGCCCATTTACATTCAAGGTTAGTATCCATATGTGTGGATTTGATCCTGTTATGTTGTTAACTGCTTATTATACAGATTTGTTTCTATGGTTGCTTTGTAATATCATTGATCTGTGTACTTAGGTGGGTTTTTGTAGAGGTTGGTAATGGTCTTTCCCTTCCATATTTAGTGCTTCTTTCAGGAACTCTTGTCAGGCAGGGCTGATGGTAACAAATTCCCTCAGCATTTGCTTGTCTGAGAAGGATATTATTTCTCCTTCACTTATGAAGCTTAGATTGGCCAGATATAAAATTCTTGGTTTGAATTTCATTTCCTTAAGAATGTTGAATATAGGTCCCCAATCTCTTCTGGTTTGTAGGGTGTCTGCTGAGAGCTCTGCTGTTAATGCAATGTGCTTCCTTTTGTAGGTGAGTTGTCCTTTTTCTCTAGCTGCCTTTAACATTTTTTTCTTTTATTTCAACATTGGAGAATCTAACAATTATGTGTCTTAGGGATGATTGTCTTGTGAAATATGCAAGGGTTCTCTACATTTCCTGAATTTGAATGTTGGTCTCTCTAGCTAGTTTGGGGAAATTTTCATGGATGATATCCTGAAATATATTTTCCAAGTTGCTTTCATTCTCCTTATCTCTTTCAGGGACATTTCTACAATAGGCTTGTAGAAAATTTTGAAATTAGAAAGTGAGAGTTCTCCAAATTTGTTCTTTTTTCTAAAGTTTGTTTTATCTACCTCGAGTTCCTTGAATTTTGATATAAACATTAGGATCAGCTTTTCAATTTCTGCAGAAAAAGGCAGCTGGGGTTTTGATAGGCTATAATGAATTTGTAGATCAATTTGGGAACCAATTTATCTTAGCCATGTAAGTCTTTCACTTCACATACACGGGGTTTTTTTTTTTCCATTTATTTAGATATTCTTTAATTTATTTAAGCAACATTTTGTTTTGGTATGCACATCTTACACTTATTTTGTTTAATACATACCTAATTGTTTTATTATTTTTGATGCTATTGCAAATAGAATTGGTTTCTTAATTTTTGGAATGATTTCTTCTAGTGTATAGAAATACAATTGATTTTGCTATTTATGATTTATCCTGTAATCTCTCTGTGTTCATTTATAAATTTTAATATGTTTTTCATTAGACTCCTCAGGAATTTCTGTGTACAAGATCAAGTTATCTATGACTAAATAACAATTTTCCTCTTCCTGTCTAATCTAGATGCCTTTTGTGTTTGTTTGTTTTTTTCTTTATTTCCCTGCCTAAAATCTCAAGTACAATGTAAAATAGAGCGGGTAAGAGCTGACATTCTTGTCTTATTCCTGATTTTGGGGGAAAACAGTCAGTTTTACACCATTAAGTACAATGTTACCTCAGGGTTCTTTAGAGGCCCTTTGGTAGTTTGTGAAAGTTCTCTTTTATTTGTAACTTGTTAAGTGTTCTTATGAGATGGTGTTGAATTTTCTCAAATGTGTTACTTTTATCTGTTGAGATACTTATATTTTTCCCCAAATTTTATGACTGTAGTATAACTAATTAATGGATTTTTGGTTGTTAAACCAACTTCACATTGCTGTGATAAATGCTACTTGATTGTGAATGTTGTGTAATCCTTTTATATAGGTTGTTGGGTTTGGTTTGCTTGTAATTTTGTGGAGAATTTTTGCATCTATACTCATAAGAGATGTTGGTCTGTAGTTTTCTTGTGATATCTTTGTCTAGTTTTGGTATCAGAGTAATATTGGCCTTATGTAATGAGTTAGAATATTTATCCTCCTCTTCTGTTTTTTGGAAGAGTTTATGAAGAATTGATATTAATTATTTTCTAATGTTTGGTAGAATTAAACAGTGAAGCTATCTGGGCCTGGGCATTTCTTTGTGGGGAGTTTTTAAATATCCAGTTCTATTTTTTTCTTATTATTATAGGAATCCAGATTTTCTATTTCTTCTTGAATCATTTTTGGTATGTGTCATGCTAGAAATTGTTCATTTTAAGTTATAATTTGTTGGCATATAATTATTTATATTATTTCCTTATAATAATATTTCATAATATAAGAATATTTTCATAATCATTTTCTAAATTTCTGTAAGGTCAGTAATGATGTGCCTTCCTTCATTTCATTCTAAAATTTAACAATTTTAGTAGTCTCTCTTTTCTTTCTTAGCCATTCTAGCTAAAGATTAGTTAATATTTTTTATCTTTTCTTTTTTTTTTTTTTCAGATACTATCAGAGGAACCATCCCCTAATATTTCAACATAGGTTCTTTTCTATTTTCCCTAAGTGTCGGCCATTCTGAGAAATAAAGAGAAAGAGTACAAAAGAGAGAAATTTTACAGCTGGGCCTCCAGGGGTGACATCACTATTGGTAGGTTCCATGATGCCTCTTAAGCTGCAAAACCAGCAAGTTTTTATTAGGGATTCCAAAAGGGGAGGGGGGTATGAACAGGGAGTAAGTCACAAAGATCACATGCTTCAAAGGGCAATAAAACATCATGAGGGCAGAAGAGCAGAGCAAGATCACAAGGTCAGGGTGAAATAAGAATTACTGATGAGGTTCCATGTCCCACTGGGCATGTATTGTCTTGATAAACATCTTAACAGGAAACAGGATTCCAGAGCAGACAACCAGTCTGACTAGAATTCACCAGGCTGGAATTTCCCAATCCTAGTAAGCCTGAAGGTACTGCAGGAGACCAGGGCTTATTTCATCCCTTAGCTTCAACCACGTAAGACAGACACTCCCAGAGTGGCCATCCATAGACCTACCCCTGGAAATGCATTCCTTCCCCAGGGTTATTCCTTGCTGGGAAAAAAATTCAGCGATACTTCTCCTACTCGCTTTCTGCAAGAAGAAAACTATGGCTTCATTCTGCTGGACCCCACAGGCAGTCAGACCTTAAGGTTATCTTCCTTTGTTCCCCAAACATCGTTGTTGTTCTGTTCTTTTTCTGGGTGCCCTGATTTCATATTTTTCAAACACACATGTTTTACAAACAATTTGTGCAGTTAATGCAATCATCACAGGATTCCAAGGTGACATACATCCTCAGCTTACAAAGATGATGGGATTATGAAATTAAAGTAAAGACAGGCATAGGATATTATAAAAGTATTGACTGGGGAAGTGATAAATGTCCATGAAATCTTCACAATTTATGTTCAGAGATTGCAGTAAAGATAGGTGTAAGAAATTATAAAAGTATTAATTTTGGGAACGGATAAATGTCCATGAAATCTTCACAATTTGTGTTCTTCTGCCATGGCTTCAGCCGGTCCCTCCATTTTGGACAAGAGACAAAAAAAAGGTTGCCCAGGTTGGAGTGCAGTGGCATGATCATGGGTCACTACCGCCTTGAACTCCTGGACTCAAGTGATTCTCCTGCCTCAGCTTCTCAAGTACCTGGGGCTACAGGTGCATAACACTATGCCTGGGTAATTTTTTGATATTTTGAGAAAGAGTCTCCCTATGTTGCCCAGGCTAGTCTCGAACTCCTGGGCTCAAGCAATCTTCCTGCCTCAGCCTCCCAAAGTGTTGGGATTATAGGTATGAGCCACTGTACCTGGCTTGTTGAGATTTTCAAAGTCATCTTTTGTTTTTGTTGCTTTTCTTTATTATTTTTCTATCCTCTATTTTATTTATTTCCTCTAATCATTATTGGTTTCTTTTTTCTTCTTGCTTTGAGTTTAATTTACTCTTCTTTTTCTAGGTTCTTCAGATGAAAGATTAGTTTATTGATTTGAGACTTTTCTTCTTTTTTAATATGCTCGTTTATAACTGTAAATATACCCCTAAGCATTGTTTAACTGTATTCTATAAGTTTTGGTCTGTTGTGTTTTTGTTTTAATTCTTTTCATAGTATTTTTAAATTTCCTTTGAAATTTCTTCTTCAACCCCTAAGTATTTTAGGAGTGTGTTTAATTTCCATATATTTGTGGTTTCCCCAATTTCCTTTTTTAATTGATTTCTAATTTTATTTCATTGTGATTGGAGAAGAGAACATACTTTATATTTCAATCATTTTAAGTGTATTGAGGCTTGTATTACGGTTCAGCATATGGTCCATCTCACAAAACATTCCCTGTGCACTTCAGATTATATGTTCTGCAGCTACAGTTTGGTGAAGTACTCCATAGATATATGCTACATCTAGTTGGTTAAAAATGTTTTTCAAGTCTCTTATTTCCTTATGAGACTTCTGCTTAGTTAACTGAGAGCTTAAAAAGTTGATCTCATGGAGGTAGAGAGTAGAATGATGTTTACTAGAGGCTGGAGAGTAAGGCAGAGTGTGAAGAGAGGTGGGTTAAGGTATAAACATACTGTTAGGCAGAAGGAATAAGTTCTAAAAATTGGTAGCAAAGTAAGGTGACTATAATTAGCAACAATATATTCTATATTTCCAAATAGCTAGAAAGCAAAATTTAAAATGTTTCCAACAGAAAGAAATGATAAATGTTCAAGGTGATGGATATCCTAAATACCCTGATTGGATAATTACACATTGTATGCATGTATCAAAATAGTATATGTACCCCATAAATATGTACAATTATTATGTATCAATAAAAAAATTTTAAAAAAGAAAATGGGCTATTAAAGTCTCCCCTTGTTATTGTTGAATTGTCTGTTCCTCCCTTCAATTCTGTCCGTTTTTTATTCATTTATTTAGGTGCAGGTAATTTAGGTTTATACATGGGCATATGATTTCTTTATGTCTTTTATTACTTGCCAACATTTTCTAGTTTAATATTTAAGTGTGTTTATAGCTGCCTATTGGATCATTTTTATAATACTGCTTGGAAGTCCTTGTCAGTTAATCCAACATTTCTGTCATCTTGTCATGGGTTTCTCTTAATTTCATTATCCCATATGAATTGAGATTACTGTGGCTCCTCATATGCCAAGTGATTTTTGCTTGATTGTGGCCATTTTGAATACTATATTATCATACTTTGGGTTTTACTTATGTCCTGTGGAGAATGTTGATAATTTTCCTTTAGCCTTCTATAGGCCATGGTTCCAATGTCAATTCAGTTTTCAAAGCCATTGCAGTGAATTTTTTTTTTTTTGCTCCTGCATATGCAAGTGGTCAGCCTGAGATCTGACCATAGGTTAGTTCTTCAAGTCTTTCATATGCTAATTAGGATCACATTAATACTCAAATAAGTCAAGGGTTAACCCAGGAGTGCATAAACAGAATCATTGCTTTTCCTAGCTATTTTCTCTATTATCTCACTGGTATTTTTCAGACCACTGGATTTCAGTCCTCTGGTCAGAAACTGTCCTCTTCTGTGATTGCACTGCCTCTAGAATCAAGTGGCAGGAGGAGAGAAAGACAGGAGAAAATCCAACAGAGTCTGCCCCATCCGCTTGGAGACACACACACCTCCACCTGAGGGAAAATAAATTTCTTATTCCTTAAAGTTTTAGCTGCAGGGTCACCTGGGTGTACGGTGCAATAGAACAGAAAAATAAGGTGAGGAAAAAAATCAAGAGATTTCCCTCACTCTCTCTGAGGTTTCGGAGTTGCCATTTTTGCTCCTCAAGCCTGAACTGGAGGGTTTCTCTTTGATCTGTCTGAACCACAATGCTGACTTCCAACTTCCAAATTGCATTGGGTTCAGGTCAAGAGATAAGTAGAAGAAAAAAAAAAGGCAAACTTACGGTCCATTTAGTGGTACAACAAATTCAGATGCTTTTCCCTTTTTTCCCCACTAATACGTTTCAGTATTTTCAAATGCTATTCATGCAATTTGTGCAGCTTTGATAGTTGCATTCATTGAGAAAAGAAGGATTCCTATTTTTACTGGAAATGCAAGATAATTTTTTAATAATTTCTACAGTTGACATTTCAGAACATTTTAAAAGCATCATTAAACTTTAGTCATTTGTTTTCTTACCTTTTGTGAAACTTTTTTGGGGGATGGGTTTCAGATTGACTTTATGTGGACTGGAATAATCAAGAAGGACGAATTTCCACCTGATAATATGCTTGAAATAATACACCAATCTTATGAACGAATTCCAAACTAATATGGAATATTTTCTACAATAAATTATATCTTCTCAATTTCTTGTTTCAATTCCCCAAGACTGCCGTTCCTTCACATAAGCTCATTTTGAGTATAGTCCATAGATCTAGCCTTCAAAAATGTCTGCTGGGAAGAGGAGATTTCATAGGTTTTCATCTCAGAGCATTTCTACTCTTCTTTTTATAAGAATTTAAAAAAAAACAAAACACACATCCATTCTTTCCCTCCACCGCAAATTTGACTATTATTTATTTTTAACTATTTTTCTTTCTTTCAAATTTGAAGTTGAGTTTAGATACATTTATCTCCATAAGAAAGAATTCAGGTAGCCACTAATCAAAAATTCTAACTAGCACCTGATAACTATTTCTACTTATATCTGAAGTCAGATATATAATAAATTTCTCTGAGAAATTCATTAGAAACTTTAATTCCAGAGATTCAACCCATTGTTGTCCTTTTCCACATACAGTCATATGCTGCATAATAATGTTTCAATCAGTGATGGACTGCACATAAAATAGTGGTCCCATAAGCTTATAACATTGTATTTTTATATACTTTTTCTATGTTTAGATACACACTTACCATTGTGTTACAATTGCCTACAGTATTCATTACAGTAACAGGTTTGTAGCCCAGGAGCTGTATCATATAGCCTAGGTGTGTAGTAGGCTATACCATCTAGTTTTTTCTAAGTACCTTGTATGATGTTTGTACAATGAAGAAATCCCATAATGACCATATATCAAGTTCATATATCAGAGTTTTTGGTTTTGACTGTACATATATTTTTTTGATGTCAGACAGTGTCTTACACATTCTATCTAATTTAAACTGAATTTTACAGGAAACTAGATTTTAGAGGGGCACAACAATGTGGCCAAGAGCATATAGATATTAACAAAAGCTGGACTATATTTTAGATCATTTAACATCTGGGACACAAATCTCTCCATGCAACACTGTGTCTTTTAGAAGTTCAGGTTTAAGAAAACTGGCTTATATCATCAGTATATAGTTTCCAGCATCATTTCTTTTGTTCCATGAAGAAAATTATGACAATGTATTTATCTGTACGATTATGGTTAAATGTATGTTTGATTTATGTTAGAATCAAATATATATGTAGAAAAATGATATGGTGAGCCTGACCCAGGGAAAATGCTAATAGCTAAGGTTTAATCAATAAATACATTAAAGCTTCTCCTGATCCTGCTCTTGCAACAAATTCCAAACATAAAGTTGCTTGACAAATTCATTTCATGAGTTAAATGAGAGTATACCTTCTAATTTGTTTTCATATTTAATTATCCATTTATTCTTTTGATTCATAGGCAGTAATTTCATACTGTTGATTCCCTCTTGACCTTGTGCTTGTAACTGAATCCTGAGATCTGGCTTGTGGCCCAGGAATATGTAGAAAATTGTTTATATTAGCAGCAAGCTGCCTTGAGCTGCAATGCTTTGATTTAATGTTATAACTGTACTAAAAGTAGCATAGCTTTCCCATGTACTCTCTACTCTGCTCAAATCCCTTGTCATTATAACAGATGTTTGGATTATTGTTCTGTAAACTATGTCAGAATTTCAATCTCTAGTATCTGTTTATTATTCTCCAAGGGTGATATTACAAATGTTCTCATGCACAGTTAATACTTATAAAACAGGCTGTCTTATTTCCCATTAAAAAAAATCTCAGCAGAAAATATTTTTAAAATCAGAGTAAATATACCAAATTTGGGGAGAGTGTTTAAGTATGTATGAACAAATGATTCCAACTGAAAATGGGCAATATTTCAGAAAGTGTTCCAATCATTTAAAAAGACAAAACTACAGTTTTATCTTAAGCATATGTGATACTGAGTTTTAAAAATTTATTTAAGTACATGTATAATTTATCTATAAATACTATTTATATTTAAATGTTATATTTAAATACTATATTAAATAATTTTATTCTGATATTGAGATATAACAATTTATACTGAAGTCTGTAAAAGCCATATGTACTGATAAAACCTCATGGATTTGAAGTGTTTAATATTAACAAATAAAACAGTTATTGGAATAAAAGAATGTAAGCCCAAATGCTCATGAAGGTACCAGAAATATGTGGTAAGAATACCACTGATTAAAATTTGTACGTGAGTGGAAAATCTCATTACCTTAAAAAAAAAAAAAAGGTCACTGGCAGCTTTTTAACATACATTTTTAAAGCCTGAACTGTTACTTTCCTTCTGTTGTTTGAGTGAGTTATGGCAGCTTTTACAAGGGCATGAAATAAGATTTCCTGAGGTGACTTGGTCCAATTGGATGTTGAGGAAGAGCAAAATCTCTGAAATAGTATTTCTTCTTTACATTTTTATATTTTAATTATTGCCTTAAAAATTAGTATATTCTAAATTGAGCCTCTGTCAGATATAGGAGCATTATGCCTGAGGAATAATCTTACCGTATCTAGAAAACAAGGTTAGTAGCTAGAACTGTTTGTAGTTAGAACTATTTACATAAAAATAATTTGCTTCTCTCATTTACTGCACATATATTTTCAACTTTCTTGTTATTTCTAATTTTTAGCCTTTTTTTCTTTTGAACACAAAAATGTCATAAAAATCAGAAAATGAGGAAAAAGAGGAGACTATTCTTTTGAAATGATTTAGAAGGAGAGTGACAGAATTCTTCTGGGAAATAAAAGGAGAGGGGAAGGGAGAGTTTAAGGAAAAGGGTCAATTAGCTACTCAATCAGCCCCATAGAAAAAAGGTGCTGTAGCTTTTTCTTCATTCATTTTGCTTTAAAGAGTGGATACAGCTACAACAGGGTTCGGCGGCTGCAAGAATACCAACATGCATTACGTTTGCATGTAGGATTTTAAAAAACGAAGGAAAAAAAAAGAAAAAAAAACAAGGTCAGCTTCGGAAATGATGAATGCCTTTTTGCTGAAAGCTGTACCGAAGGTCCTTGAGTTTAATCAAAACTATTTGTTTTTAGTCAGCTTTGCTGTTGTCTCTTTTACTCTTGTCCACTGATAGCTTGACATTAATGACATCATAAATCATGTGAAGTGGCGGCTTGGGTTTGGTAGCATTTCAAGTGTGTGTTGAGATGTCCTGGACTATCTGAAGGGCTGGTGCAAGGTTGGATATCATCCTGGACTGAATCTTTAGTTTATGGCACTATTTGGTTGGTAAAAGTATGGAATGCATTATTAGTGTGATGGGCTTTCATTAAAGAGCATCTGGCTCCTTATTAAATTCAGACTTTAGAAAGATTATTGAATGGGTGGATTTATCTTTAATTCTGCTTCTTAAATGTTTTAAAACCTAATTTTAAAATCCCACTTTAAAATAAAGACCTGCTTTTCTGGGCTTGTCAATTCCTATGGTCATTCAATGGCTATAAAGTAAAATATCAGAGTCCCTTTGCACAGTTCAAGTTTGCACGCTGTACAGCCAATTGAGACTTGAACAGTATGTACAATTTGAGAAAATCTATCACTTACACTTTGTAAAAGGCTCTTGTTAAGTATAAAGCATCATCTGTACATTGGGAAATGTACTCTTTGAAAAATGCCTAGCTTTTATCAGTTTTTTGTTTTAGAATGATTTCACTGAATCATGCTACATTTTATGGCTTGTTATCTGTGCGACTGTGTTCTTAGAACATGCTTTTTATTATCATCGTACTTTACCGTTAAGGGAAGAAAACATTTTTCTTTAACTGTTATTTATTTAATGGCATTTTTTATATTAAAAACTGATATATATGTGTGTGTTATATATATAATAAGAATAATATGTAGATCATTTACTTTCTTAACAGGTCAATACATAAAGAAGTTAAAGAGCTTTCTTTGTTTTATAAGCCAACTGACAAAAAGAGATGTCTTTTCTTCAGTCATGGCAAAGTACAGCATCTTCAAATATGCATTGCATATTGTAATAGAGCAGTTCTCATAGTTTTGAGAAAGTTTAGCCAAAATATATAAACAGTTGTCCAGGTTTTATCACAAAATGCAGATTATCATCTACAAGCAAAGTGGATTCAATTAAATTATTGCTACACAATCCTAGGGCAAAAACTGAATAAAACAACATCAAACAAAACTATTTGACACTTTGGATAATTTAATCCTTTATTTTTAACTGAATTTGAGGGGGAAATGTTGAATATGGGTACAAATAGATTCCTAAAAACTGCATTTACAGATATTTTTTACCTGTTTTAAAATAAAAGCTAAGAGGTTATTTCTCCATATATCAATGAAGTTTTTTTCACAAATTATTTTAGTAAAAATAATCTAACCTGATATAGCATTAGAAGATTTTTTCTTTTCTAAAACAAGATATATTGACAGCATAAATGAATTCAAACAATATTTTATTCTTCCTTCAAATAGAATTGGTTCCTGTTATAAAAAAAGGATTTCTTTTTTTTAATGACTCAAATGTAGGTGTCTCTGACTATATTCTGGAGAATATACTCAAGGACTAGTTATTTATACACCTTTTCTTACCCAAACTTCTCCTCATCTCCTATCTCTTTGTTGCACATCTGTCTCCCCTTTTCTCCCAAAAAACGATTTTTGTTTGCTTTTTCTCATTGTGTATTTACTCATTTTTGCTTTCATCTGATCTATGCATGATAGAATCAGGCAGGATTATTTCTCTTCAGATTCTATGTGCTATGGTGAAAATAACTAAGTATTTCTTGGTCTGTGCTAGTTCTCCTGATTTAGGTACAGCAAATAATTACTTTCCCCACAAAAACAGAAAGACTGAACTTGCTCCAGAAAACAGAATGCACATCCCCAATGACACACAAAATGTTTGGACATGCTGGTGTGCAAAAGGGATCAATTCCATGATTTGTTCCAGAAAAAGTTATCTTAGACTCACAAGTGTGCAAGTTTCATTTTTCTCCATCCATTTATCTTGTAAACATTTATAATGCATCAAATATATATTTGGCAGACCCCCTTTGCCTATTAACAAAAATAACATTAGTCATAAGTGGGCAAATAAGGTTTTTCTAGTAAAATAAACATTTAATAAAGAACAACATCAATGTGATTCATTACTCTTATTTGCTGAAGGGTTGATTCTAAAGAATTTTTCTTTCTAGACCATTAGCAAGAAAAGATTGGCAGAACAACTTGGAGAATCTACCTCGTGCAGAACCACTGTTACTACCCCTCTCTGAAACATGGAAACATATGTTTGCACATTTCTACACATGTATACAGCCTTTATATGTCCAAGTTTATTCACATACAAAATTATACCAAGCTCAGGTAAAATAGCTGGATAAAAAGTTTCATTCTTTCTGCAGATTTTCATTTTAATCTAAGCTCCTGTTAGGAGCCTGATGAAAAACTATAAGCTCTGAGTCTATTCTAAGATGAACCAAACTCCAGGTCATATATAAATAGCGAAAGATGGTAATTACAGTGAAAGATGTGCGGCATTATTTATTTCTAAATAACAGACACCCCTGGCAGTATTGTATATCAAATTATTATTGAAAGCCTCTGTCTGGATGTTACGCTAACTTATTTTACAACTAATTGTCTTTTACCACTAAGCATGAAGTATATATAAAGTTTGGTAAGTAAAATCATCTAATTTGGCAAGGGACATATTAAAATGAAAGCATTTGTGTCATAAAATACACTACAGCAGCTTGTTCACGATTGTCAAATGCAATTTCATAAATACATTGCCATAAAGATATTTTGAGTAACTTTTTTCTATGGTAAGATGGGATTTATAGAAGAATGCATCACTCAAAATTTCAAAAATGTGTTTAGAAATGGAAAAATACCCTTATTCTTCAAGCTATGACTCCACAAGGACAGTGCAGGTTAACAGGAGCTACCATAATGAGGGTCCTTCAAAAGCATTCTTCCTGTACCCACGTGAACCAAGTGCAGATTTCCATTCTCTAAGAGTGACAAAGTCAAGTCTGGCAGATAATCAGCATTTAGACATATTCCATAGAAAAATTCTCCTTTATCAGAATTTTCTCCATATTGCGTTCCTAAATTTTATGTAAATTCAAGTCGACTTTTAAACAGATACTAAATGTGGTCTAATGGTAACTGATGGAAAGCAAGGCAGATTTTCCATACAGCTTTGGATATTCATAGAAAGCAAGTCTGCCGCATATACTGGTACAAGTTGTTCACCATACAAGGATACCCAACCGTGAGCATAAGGAGACATGAAATGCACCCTGGCAAGGTGTTTCTTTGTCTATACCTTGGTAAGATAAAATCTTACCAAGCTGGGCGTGCAGGGTGTTGTGTTTGTCTAAAGGGCATACCTTTTCCTAGTTCACATAATTATACATGGGGATTATCAGAGGCCTTTGTAGAAAGATCTATGTTTCATTTGTTAAAACAAAACAAAATTATAGCCAATCTCAAAAGTGATTTTAAATTTGTTTTAGGTGAGACAAAGCTTGAGCTTTAAGTGGCATGGAATTAGGAAATTTTAGGAAGAGTATCTTGTAGGATACCTAACTTCTGAATGAGGCAATACCACTTCCCCATTACTGAGCACCCTTAACTAAATTGCTTTAAGATTTTGTAATTGCCTTTTCATGATTACTGTAATTCCATTGTATTTAAATCCCTTTCAAATGGTCACATATAAATGTGTCAACAGCTTATTCATACCATATTAGAGCTGTTAAAACAAAGACATGCACTTTTTCTCTCATGTTCACGAAGACTAAAAACAAAAACTGAGCTAAGGCTATCTCTGTGAGAAATGATAACTTCTAGAATATACCAGAATTTTCTAATTGAAGAACTAAAGAACATAATTGGACCTTATTTCCTTAGGCTATTGATATGCTAATGCTAATATTACGTTAGGTCAGGGTTAACCCCAAAGAATAAGTTATTGAGCTTTGCTAATATCTTCATGGTACTTGTCAATAACAGTCTGGCTGTAGCACTGGTCTTCAAGTCTCAATCTCAAATAGTGTTTTGTATAATAATGTAAAATAAATATGAATAGTTTCCCAGGCCTCGTATAAAATACTTTTTATTTATTTAATTAATATTTATTGACCTTCTATGTGAAGCATTTAGAATAAAAAACTGTATATTGAAATTGATTTTATAGATTTACCGATCCTTTCCCCTTATGCAAAGAGATGTCTAGCACCATTTAATAGAAAATATGCTCAGTTTTAGCTATATCTTCTTGAGATAATCTTTTATAGATTCAATGAGATAGTCATAGGACATATTTTTTTCTATGGAAAACATATTGGATATTTTAAAAAGATGTTTTTAAAATATGGAAACCTTTTATATGCTTGCTTGTCTTGAGAGTGCTAGTGAGTAACAGAAAGTCACAAGAGGTATATGACGTATGGACTCCAAAGCAGTATTTTACTATAAAAGCATGGAACCCTGCTGGCATATGTAATTTAATGTGCACCATGCCTCCCCTAATTCAATCAGGTCTCTACATCCCTTCTTTTATATTCCAATTGGATTCCATATGCTAAAGCCATCAAGATTTTCAGGATGAAATGAATGCTTGTATTAATCCTGCAATTTCCATTTAAAACACAGCATCGATTTGATTAATAAGGTTTGATGCTGAATAATTATATGGCAAATATGTAGGCTATAGGAAAACCACAGATGTGACCACCAGCAAAAGCCTTGTGGGAGAAGGGGTCAAAGGAAAGCAATGGCCATGACTGAGGTGATGAATTCTTTGGCTTTTCTTTTATGCAATTAACAAGCAGGGCTTCTATTAATTTGCCACCCCCAGAGCCTTGACTGGTCAGATGCATCTGGGTCAAGGGTCACAGGGGCAGAGTTGAGGTCAGCATCAGAGCAGACTTGAAACAAAATGGGAAAACTAAAGAAATCCAAATAATATAGCTGAATATACATTCTGTAGTATGAAAGGGATGGGGAGGAAGTGCATCTTCTTAATATTAAGATTGCTGTTTTAGAATAATAAAAATGTTCTCTGCACATTTAATTCAAAGTAATCAACCTAAGGTGCAGTGGTTGAGCATCCAATAAAAGAAAATCAATGTGGTCTCTACAAGGGAAGACAAACAATGCTCGCTTTCACTAAAGGGATTATAGGTTAACATTTATTCAGTGTATTGTAATCTGATGTCAAGTGGTATAAAATCAAGCCAACAATCCATTACTACCCGTTATAGGCGAGGTGCTGATCTCATGCAAATTGACTTTTCATAGAACTTATTAAATCATTTCTACGTTCTAGCTAGGAAACATTTTTCTACAGTGGCTGAACCTCAATGAATTTTACTTCACATCTTGAATGAAGGCATGTCAAAAAGACAAATATTGTTTATCTTAAATATTTTTCAAAAGTTTATTATGCTTCTAGTCATTAATTTATTATATAAAATACATATTTTTTGTGTTTCTATTAAAACAAGGAATTTGGTCATGATACTGAATCTCAATATTTTTCCTCCTAAACCCTTTCATTTCACCGCTACAGATGTCATTGTATCAGTTCAATAATAAAATTTAATAATTTTTATAATATATAATATTTTGAAATTTTTATAATACCTTGAGAATAATTGTAATGCATTTTCAAATTTTCATAGAATTTAGATTTCTTTACAATTTAAGAGAAATAATTCTTGCTTTATCAGGAATATGCATGCTCATAATTTTGAGTTTGTTTTATGTAGACTAAAGTCTACGTTTTACACTGTAGATATTGTGAGAATAAGATATTTCTTAATCTGTTTCATACAATAGGTTATAAAGATTCCACAGTTTGGGAATTAATAATTGTCAACATTATAATTATCTTAAATATAGGTAGCCGGGTTCGTTAGCATATTAGCCTAGTATCCCCATTATTTGCTTGGGCAATAAGGTTTTATCATGATTGCAAACACCTCTTCATCAAAATGCAGTGATCTTTTGAAGTATTAGAAAAAGTTAGTGATCTCTCGTTAAGCATAATAGAAAAATTGCTAGCAAACCTGTCAAAGTTAACATTTTTTTCTAAAGAACTGTGCTTATTGTTAGAATTGGGGCCACTTTTAAGTGTGAGAAAAATCATTACCACATGTTTGAAAATATTGGTGATATTTTGCAGATTGCATTACTCCACAGCCTGGTGCTACTTCAAAACATTTCAGAATTAGTTGGTAGTAGAATGGGAAATTGAATTTGTCAGTATTTTTATTATAAAAGCTAAGTTTAGTTTTACCACCCTTGCTTTGATAGAAACCTTTAGCTTTTATTTGTTCTGGAATAGAAGTTTGCCTATTCTGAATGCAAGACATAAAAAAAAGGTTTATTATTTTAAATCTTATCTATAAAATCTAATCTATGTATAAAATATTTATCATTATTGAACTAGTCATGTATTCATATTTTTAGGAATAGTGAAAGTTATGAATTTTATCATGAGAATAACTTCCATTATTATCTTTCTTACATATTGCAAATGTTTTGGTATTTAGATAAAAATAGATTATATACTTTTGCTGATTCTGCATAATGAAACCTTAAAAAATTTTAAGCCATGCTTGTTATATTATGGTAACCAGTTTGGGCTTCTATTATTGTTGCTTTGTTTTGCATTTTACACAGAAAAAAAAAATGAATGTTTCAAAGAATCCAATGAAATCATCCACAAAGCCCTTGGATCAAATGGAAAATAAACGAAAAATGAGTATAAGCCAATTTTGGTGAGTAAGGCAAAGGTAGTTATGTAGGCCACTAGCTTGCCTGCCTATCCAAGATCCTATTTGGGTCAAATGTATCTCATTTGCATGAAGCACACAGAACTGATCAAATTGAAATCTTAAAGTTTAGCAATATAATTTGATATGACCTTATAACAGCTTGAATTGACTAGATGTTCTTGTTCAAATGTTGAATTAACACTGAAACAATAGATTCTTCGTATTTAAAACTAAATTGAAAACCAAATGAAAGCTAGTAAAATAAGGAGATGTAGTTATCCATATTCAGACTGTGAATTCTAAACCTGGATTCTCTCTAGAATGTGGATTTTTACCAGGATTTTTCATGAGCCCTTAATTTCTTGTCTCATTTGCATTAAAACAGTAAATTGGAAACACTTGCTCATTTCTACTGTGCATAAACTGCATTTGTTAATCTGCTTTTTATTCTATAGCAAAAAGAATGCTTTAAGGAAATAAAAAGTAACCATAAACCACAACCCCCCAAAAAAGCAAGTGGGCCTTGAGAAAAAAAAATGGTTTCTTCATTTTTATTTGTAAAAGATTAGTTTGCTTTAGGGCATCTAGATAGCACGAAATCACTTCACAACTAGGACGATGAAAATATGAACTCTAGGCTAACAGTAATGGCAAAAATAATTTCCAACTGAAGGGAAAACCACTTCATTTTGTGCACAATTTCTGAATGTCTTCCACTGGACTTTAAATAAAAAATGGAAAACATTTTAGCAAATATAGGGAAGCACTGAGTATATGGCACTAAGAGGCATTTTTGATGTTTTTGCATTTTTGTGCAGAGAGAGCCATAAAAGGTTGCCAATGGGGTATTGTAAAACCACAGTTAACAGTGAATTTTAGATAGATATAACCAGTTAAAGGTGATTGAATATCAAGGGTTGAGTAGTGCTTATTATACCTGCTGTTGGGAGACTTCAATTCATTATTGTAACAGAATGAAAACAGCACTGCTGCTGTCCAGGACATGCTTGTAGTATTGATTGGGTTTCTCCAAAGTCTTCTCTTAGGATGCAGAGTGCAGTCAAACATGCACAAACATCACTCAGTTCCCCTGATTCTGTCATGTGCTCCTTGTACCTCAAACTAAAGCAGCCTTAAGACACAGGAAAATGCTTTTTTATTTGAAGGCAGACAGGGCTCTAAGCCTGACTCCAGGGGCTATGCAGATGTGGTGACCTTTCTTCCAGAGACCAGATTTTACACTCAAATTATCATTAAAGCTTGTTTTTCCCTAGAGGTTCCCAGTCAACTTGTGTGCTCTCTCCATTAGGGTTAAAAGTCAGAGTGGCACCATGCCCACTACGCATACTAAATGAAATGGAACATAAATAAAAAGGGGACACGACCCTCCCTCCTGGATATATGGCATCATCCACAATCCAGCCTGATGTAATCAGGCTTGATCAGAACTGCACAGATCTAGGGTAAACACTTCAGCCAGAATTTCCTAGGCTCCTAGGTCTCTAGAAATGTATCTCTGAAGTAGGATATCATCCTCTCCTTTTAATTTTCAGAACCAGTAGTAACTACTGACTCAACCGGTGTAATTCTACTGACTCAATTGTGTAATTCTGGAAACCCTTTCTTACGACCTCTGGCAATATCTATAAGCTTAAGATAATTAATCTAATAGTTTAGGAACAAAGAATTTTAAAATAAGAGAAAAGGAAAAATGCATAGTTTATAATGCAAACATGAACTTTTGGAGGGCCTTTAATTATTAGATGATAGAGTAACAGTATACATCACCAGACTGAATGGATAAAACCTTTTTTTTTAATTTTCCCTATGTAGGTTTCCTGAGGACAAAATGACCCTAAAATATGACAAGATCCCTCAATCTCATAATGCAGCTCATTTTAAGGTACCACATAAATGATATTTGGAAACAAGAAATTTCTCTAATGTCCCAAATGAATCCGGTTACTATCTCAAGGATGGGAAATATTCTTGACCTATTGATATGCTATGTTTTCTCCCACAGGTCTATGCCAAAAAAAAAAAAAAATCACCAAAGTAGAAGTCTTTCTCCTAATTAAGTACTTTTTGATTTAAAATGCCAATGCAAAGAGTTCTATTTTCTCCTTAAAAGGGTATGGGTTGGGGTTGCAGGGGGAAGCAGAAGCTGAAATTCTTCATAAAAACATTTATTAGGACTTCAGGAAACTCCTTTATTGGGAAATTGAGAACCAAAGTATATCTAGATCATTACAGACCTGTACATTAAAATATAAAAAAGAGGTCTGAAACTGGGATATACTGCAACGTCTAAATATAAGATCTAATCCTAGTATCTAAATTTAGCCTGATGTGTTTAGTTTTTCTCCATAGATTTTAGGTAATTCTCTTATTTAAAGTCATGTTTTGTATCTGAGTAGAGATGCAAGCCATGTGTTGTATTAGGAAGACTTGGATTGTTTATCAGAAGCCCTGAATTCTAGTCCCCACTTCATTATTTATGATGTGACCTTGTGAGCAAGTCACTGGCTCTCCTTGAACCTTTTATTTTTAACTTGCAAGTTGACTCTAATGACATCTGCTTTATCTACTTCTCAGGATAGTCCTGAGATTAAAATGACATAATTTATATGAAAATTATTAGATAGCTGTGAAGATAGGTAGGTAGATAGAGATAGATGCCATTATTATTATTATTATTCCAGTTTGCTTGTAAAAATCTAATCTGCTCAAGATGCACAAAATTCTTCTTGCTAGCCTTTAGACCAATCATGGCTTCCTAGCTCCCCCTTGCCTTTTCCTATGCTCCAGATTTTTCAGAAACAGATTTTTCTTACAGGGTACAAAAACCATCTTTAATTAGCTGATTCCCAAGAGGGCCAAGTCTCATCCCCCTTGGTCGTTTGATTCAAGCCTGACCCTTCATGGGGCTTCATCTCTACATGCTACCCTTCACAATTACTTAATTGCAGGGGGAAGTCCTATATTGTTCAGTTTGAGTAAACACTCTGCTCATTGGATTTTTTGTGTGTTTGTTTTAGTGACACTATGATCTCTACTCTGTCCCAATCTCACCCTTCTAGCTTGCCTTTGATCTGAACCCTTTCTTTTATTTCATGGTAATAGAACAAAAATTACCCTTTTTCCTTTTAATAATATGAAGAATAATTTAAGGGTTTTTTTGAGTGGTGAGGGGAGTTTTTTTTTTTTTTTAAATTCTGTCCCACTAGATTGTAAGCTTATTCCTGTTCAGGTGCTGAGACTGATCAGATGCCACAGTGAACCATTCAAGCCTTATCATTGTGGAGTCTATGCAGTCCTCGTCCTTACAGCTTGTTTTAAAGATTACTCCATATATTGCCCATGCCTTCCCAAGATACAGAGAGAGGAACTAATTCAGTTCTCCTTCTCCCCAAATGATTGTTTTGATTTTGTCCTCACATGACAATTGCAAAGATGATATACAGTGTTTAATCACTGAACATTACAATCCTGTGACTTACCTCTGTGCACATTCCTGACTTTTCCCACATTTTTATCTACTCCCACCTCTCCACCTGTCTTGTTAAAGTGGTTAACAACCTTTGAGAAGAAAGAAGAAAGGAAAGGAAAAAAGAGGAGCAAAAGGAAGAAGGGAGACAGAGAAGAAAGAAAGATAAAGGAAAAGGAAGGAAGGAAGGAAGGAGAAAAAGAGCAAGCTATCATTTATTGGTGATATGCCCAAGTCCCTTAACACCGGTAATTTCTAATCTTTACCATAAATTAATTTTGTAGATGAGTAAGTTCAGACTTAAAAAGGTTAAATAATTTTATTCTTATTTTGAAGACTAATATATTCACTCACATCTCTGTATATTGACTTCCTTCATTCACTACATATTCACTTCCATACCCCCTTAGGGGAAACTTATTTTGATATAAATCTGCATTCCATGATGCCTCTGAAACTCACCATTGTTCATATTCTAATTCATAATAATTTCCTGTGATCATATTATACTTTGTAGTTTCTCAAAGCACTTTTACATAAACACATTTGATGCTCACAGGAAATCTGAGGTGGGAGTTATAATGCACATCTTACCATTAAAAAAACACAAGTCTTTGGATTAAAGGATTTACTCAAGCTATCACAATTGTAAGCAGCAAAATCATGACTAGACTTCAAGTCTCCTGATGGTACTTTTAGAGCTTCAAAGCTTAAAGTTTCATATGTTATTATGTACGTCGGTAGTAATAGTTTAAAAGTTAATAGTACAAATTTCAGTCAAAAAATTCAGAGGTTCAAAAGTCCAACTTTATTTTGTCATAGTTGAACTTATTTTTTTCCTTGAAACCTAATTCCTGCCTGAGTATAGAAAACGATCTAGTCACATTTAGGAAAATGTAGTCAAATTCCTGATTAGTCAAACAAAACATTTGGAGTAAATACCTTCCAGTTGTCTCATTTTTCTCTGGGCCTTTTTGTCTTTCATCCCTTGGCGTGGTGGCCTATGTGCTCTCACGACAAGTGTGAAAGTGCTTGGCCCAAAGTCATTGGGCCCTGCCTGCATTGCACTGGAGAGATGTGGCTTAGCCAGCCTAGGCTTTGGACACTGACCTTGGTCTTACTATCTTCATGGCTGATTCCTGAGACTCTTCTGTGGCTTCCAGCCACACAGTCCACCCTGTACCTGTTGTGTCCCTTTGGTACCTATTTGACTTTTAACACTTCCTCTGGACGTCTTGGGAGCAAAATAACTATTGGGTGTTCTCTCATGATGCTCATGGCTGCAGGAGACTTGAGAGCTATCTCAGGTCCTCTTCTCAAGACATACTGCATTGTCGTTCCATACTGCTTTACAGGACCATAGCATCAGGTTTGCTGCTACCCCAGAGTTCCTCTAGGAAGCAAACCATGGGTCCCCTATGCTTCTAAACCCAGTAAACTTACCAGGCGTTACTATTATCAGATGTCCCTCTTCCAGCAAGCTTTGTTCAATATCAATTGCATTCATTAATTGTTTACTTCAATAAAAGTTTCTATAGTACTTACTATTTTTCAGGCATTGTTCTAAGATATATGTCATTAACATTATTTTACAGATGAGGATATGAGCCAAAGAGAGGCTGAGTCAGCTGCCCAGAATCATATAACTAGTAACCAGCACAGCTAGAATTTGAACCTTGACAATTAATACTGATGGATGGTGAGAGTGATTCACATGCATTATACTGACCACACCAGACTAATGAGGACCTTAACAAGATGATATTTATAAAATTTACCCAAATGGCCTCCATGCCTCATGTTCCTCTTCCAGTGCTTATCTGGACTATTTGATGTCCCTATAAAGCTGTTCTTATGGGCATGGCTATACCTGTATGTCAAGAGATATAGATGGCTTTTAAATGGTGGATTTGTTCTGTTCAGAATGATGAATACATTCTAAAATATAATAATATATATAATTATATAATATATAATAATAATACAGTATCAAGTCCATGTGTATTTCAATAGCACATATTTTATATTTAAATTAAATGTAGTCATAAAGGTGGTTATAGTATAGATATTTCTTCAATATATTTTACTCATTATTAGTGGGGTTTTGGAAAAAAGAAATAGAATATTCCAGAGAATAGACCAGAAATTTTTATTAATCTGTAATATCTTAGAAAAAATCAATGTTGTATTATTTCTAACACTTTGTGAAATTAAGCTTGGAGTCATAGATACTTCTTGCAATTAAATTCTCTTTCCTCACACATGAAGTAATTTTTCAAGAAAACCAAAATGCTAGAAATATACTTAAATAAGGAAAATCATCCATTATAATATAATTGGAAACTTCATCTTCTCACCAAGATAAAGTAACAGGACCAGATTTACCTTCCCCATGGAATAACAACCACTACCAATGGTTTTTAAGATGAAAAAGGACATTGATCCTTGAGAGACAGGAAACAAATGAGGCAAGCCCTTTGATTGCCCTGACTCACTGCCTTGAGACAGGTTCTAGCCTAGGGTGCAGAAATGGGGAGCCCAGGAGTAACTCAGCAGATGACCTGAGTTGAGATGATGGAGCTGAGAGTCTGCAGTCAATGCAGCCAAAGGTCACAGAAAAGAGTACCACAAAGGAGAGAACTGAACAGAGAGAGAACCTTGGAGATATGCAGAGTCTGCCTCACATACTCACTTGGGTTCTGAGCCACACAGCATCAGAGGAAACTACAGTAGGCCAAGGGAAAAGACATCTAAGAGTAGAGATAATTGTGCCTGGAACGCCCACAAAACCAGGTGATGGAAAATTCAAAATTCACAAGGCATTGAGTAGAATAATTAGAAGGGTTTTGCCTCAGTAGTGGAGCTCCTTAAACTTAGCATTATTTGCGTTCTGCTTTAATAAATCTTAAAAGCTGAACCCAAAAGGATCAAACTATTTTTAAGTAATACAAGGCACAAAAATATTTATAAGAATACAAAAATATGCAGCAGCTAATAAGGTATAATTACCTCTAGCATCTAATTAAAAAATACCAGCCATGCAAAAAAGCAGGAAAATAAGACTCATAAAGAGGAAAAAAAAATATGATTGAAGTCAACCCAGAGCTGACAAAGGTACTAAAATTAGCACATAGGGATATTAAGATAGTTTATTATAACTGTATTACACATGTTTAAAAAGGTAAGTAGAGATATGATGATATAAAAGACCTGAACTAAACTTACTAAGATGAAAGTACTGAAAAAATAATTTAAAAAATAAACAAAACCTCAATAAGCCATGTGACAATGTTAATCCACCTAATATGCATGCAGTTAGAGTTCCCAAGGAGAGGAAAGGAACAGATTATTCCAAGTGTTGGCAATAATATACAGGAACTGAAATTTTCATACATGATTGGTGGGAATCTAAAATGGCACATTGACTTTGGAAACCAATTTGATAATGTAACAAAAATTAAAACATATACCTACCATATGATCAAGCCATTCTACTCCTAGGTATTATTTGTGGCAAATGGAAGTATATGCCCATGTGAAGACTTGTACACAAATGTTTGGAGAGATTTTATTTGTAACAACCCCAAAATGAAAACAACCCAAATATTCATCAACATATAAGTGAATAAAGAAATCATGGTATATCAATGTGGAATACTACTCATCCATAAAAAGGAATTAAATATTCCTTTACATGACATAAATGAATCAAAATAATTATGCCACTGAAAGAAGTTAGACAAAAAATAGTATATACTATATAATTCCATTTAAATAAAATTCAAGGAAATATAAACTAATCTGTAGTGACAGAAAACCGATCAGTGGTTTTCTGGAGACAGTATGGGGGTCAGGGAGAGTTGGAAGGAAAAGATTACCAGAAGGCATGGGAAGAATTTTAGGGGCAATGGAAATGTTCATCATCTTGATTATCATAATAGCTTCATGAGTGGACATATTCATGAGGACTTTTCAAGTTGTTTACCTCAAATACATTCAGTTTATTGTGTGTCAATTCTATATGAATAAAGCTGCTTTAAAAATTGCATATAATTAAAGGACACAAGAGACAATTTCCAATAAGAAAAGATTTTTATAATATGATTTGATAGCACATGATGAGGTCAATTAAATTTGGTTTCACTCTTCACCTCTTTAATTTGCACTTGCTTCTTTAATAATAAAAAATCAAGATTAATTTGAGGGATTTTTGGCAGTGAATATGACACTACTTTCTATTGTATTGGTGCCAAATTTAAATAAACTTTCTCCCCACTTATTTTTTAAGTAAATAATTAACTATGCTCAGAAATAACTCAGGCTCAATATTTCACACTTGAGGCTTTTCATCAGATTGTAGTGACCTAAATTATCATTATTTTAATGTGCATTTAATCATTTAATATGTACATCAAAATTTATTGAAAATAATTTAATTAAATTATACACACATAAAGAAAAAAGAAAACAAATTCAAAAAATTAGATTTAAAATACAATTGTGACATTTATGTGATAATTTTGAGATTTAAATATTGTTGTGACAAATTTTTCTCTAAAATACATTAAAGCAATTTAGAATTGTACATTATCTCAGGACAATTAGCCTAGGCAATTGTAAAATCTTAAGTGTGAGTTGTCCATAGGGACTTTCCCACTCTTTACCAGAAGGTAATAATGTTGTGAAAAATGATCAGCTTTAGGCTGTTTCCAAAGAACAACAGTCACTTCTATAAGATCAGTAAGAATCCATCATGTGAGAAGAGTCTCCTAATACATTTTTCCTTTCTTTGGTCTCTCCTTCCTCCAGTTCATATTTCACATTGCTTCCAGAGTTTCTGAAGTAAAGATCTGATCATACCACTCCTCTTTTCTAAAACTGTCTGTGATTTTTCAGTGTCTAAGTTCTCATTTAGAATGTGTGCATTACTTTCTACCACTACCTCCTATGTACTCCATCTTTTAACTACAAAAACTCAGAAATATTTTTCTTTAATAAACACTTATATGTATACATTATTCTCTACATTTCTTAATCATCACTCCTCTGCTGTGTGGAGCTTGGACTAAAGGAGCATAAGAGGTAATGACGGGAAAATGTAGTGTTAGCTTTTGTGAAAGCTGACAGTGACTTGAGGTAAAGTGATGGCAATGAGTGTTCAGGGGAACTCTCTGTGGACCCTGCTTTTCTACTTTCTAAATATTATGCAGGGCCCTATGGCAGTCACCACACTGGTAAGTCTTTCTTTTTTCTCCCCACTATGTTCCCTTATCACTCTGTACATAGTCCTATCATTGTACCTGTCCCAATTCAGAATAATGATTTATTACTGATGGTGACAGAAGACAGGCAAATTCCTAGGCAGACAGGGGTGGGTTCCTGGTAGAGCTCAACCTTCAACCTGAGGAACAAACTGCCAGTTCCAGAAGAATCCCTGACCAGAGTGAGAACTTCTATCCCCATGTTACCCACTGTCTCTTGATTGGTTCCTTCTGGATGATGCCTTTTAACCAATTGAATGGTCCTTTTTCCAAGATCACCCATGAAACAATCAGCACGCACTCCCCATTCTAAACCCATGAAAACCCTGGACTCAGCCTCACAGACAGCTCCCCACTTCAGGTCTCCTCTTTTTGTCAAAAGGTTTTCTGTCGCTCAGTGAAATTGTACTCTGCCTTGCTCACTCTCTGGTGTGGTGTCAGTGTGCCTCATTCCTCTTGGTCACAGGACAAGAACCTGAAACCCACTGAACAGCAGGAGTGAAAAGAACTGTAACACTCTCTTCTGCTTGCTGAACTATGGGAGTGGAAAAGCCACTGGATGCCACTGCCTCCCACTCATTGAACTACAGGAACAAAAAGCCATGACATTACTATCCTTTATTTTCCAAGGCCTTCTCAGAAGCCACTGTAAGGCTACTCAATATGCTGTTCAGGGTCCCCTCAAGAAAATCATGTCACACTCAAAATGGGTATCTGAAGAGAGCTTAACCCATGAGACCCTTAACAAAATATGGGCAGAGTTACATAAATGGGGGCAGTGCAGCTCCCTGTGTTGACAATTTTAAGAAGTTGTCAGTCACCTTGACCTGAAGAGGCAAGATAAGGAAGCGGTTACCAGAATCCAGCATGCGCTATAGCTATAATGCCTCCTGCAAAGTATTTAGTAGAGGAATTCAGCCACTGACAAACTGTGGCTAAGTTGGATGGGAGCATGGGAAAATAAAAACCCTGACTTCATGCTCCCCTGGCCTTCTGAGGGCAAGGGATGCTAGCCAATGCAGTCCATTCAGGCTGGCCTCCTGCAATCCGTACAAGGCAGGCCAGAGAAGGTGGAGAGTGGATCTGGAGGGCAAATGCAAAGCTTCCAACAATTCAATGCATGGAAAGGAAATGAGTTATGGACTTAACAGATAGAAACATGAATGATAATCCATGCATGGAAAGAGAATGAACAGTTGGAGTTTTCATGTGGACCTTACTGTCTGAATAGAACAGGGCCATGATGGTGACTAAGGCTTAAATTCCAAGTCTCTTTCTAGAAATTTGTATTTCTTGAAGTGTTTTTCCTAAGAACATTTGCATGGGAATCATTACATGTTAAAATGCAGATTTCTAGGCACTGTGTCAAGTCTACTGAGTCAGAATCTCTGAGGGTAAGACCCAGAATTTGAGATACCAACAAGTTTCCTAGTGATTCTGTTTTACTTTTTTTTTAGAACTACTGACCTAGAAGCTTTTTGGAGTCATAAAATTCAGAAAGTTCTAGACAATTTTCTTCAATTTGTCACTGTACACTGGTTTTAACCTTCATGATAAATGCTACTCATAGTTAAGGTGTTAGTTTTCATCTGGAGATAATGTGAGACAAGCAAAATACTCATTGAAAAAAATTGCCAGGCTGTGAGCCCCTTGGGGGTAAACTGTCACTGACACAGAAGGAAATCTGCATTGAGAGGCTTATTTCTTTCCCTCCTCTTTTTCTGTGCAGAGTGTGTCTCGGGGAAGTCTCAACTCCCCAGCCCTTTGTCACAGACAGCTGGTTTGGAACCAAACTTAGTCATTACTATGCACCCTAATCCCAGAGGTTCCACAGCCCTTAGACTAACAAAGCAAGCTCATTTTCAAGAAGCTTAATGTTGGTGATACTTCATCAGGTATTAGCAAATGTTCCCCCTAACAAACACATCCTCAGAAGCAACCCTGCTCAAAGCAGCGCATGCCAACAGGAGGATGGCAGCCCAGTTCCTAACCAAGCAGCACCAGGGACTCATTACAAGGTGTTGGGTACAAGGATGAAAGCACTCATGGTAGGTCGCATGCATGGTTGCTAAAGCAGCCAGCCTCCCAACCACGGCTCTGCAATCCAGCACATGGAGGAAACATCCAGGCTGGGGATTAGAACTGTGTGACTTTGATATCTGAATATTAAGATCTTTCATTTTCCTTTTTGCCATGTAGACGAAAGAAAAAAAGATATAAGGAAATTGTTTAATATGAGGGAAAATAGTCTATATTATCAAGGAATTAGCAACCTGTGGTGAAAACTAAAGCACCAATAAAATATTGTGATTTAAAAAACATACTTTTAATATGTTTAATATTATGAAATATATTTTAGTCAGGAATGTCTTTATTTGCTGTCTCAGTGAAGTATTCTGATGACATGTAAAATTAACTGATGCTTGGAAATATTTAAAACTCTAAAAAATAGAAGAATACAATAATAATTTTAATAGTTATAATATTAATACCTGGTTCATATTGAGTAGTTACTATGTTTTAGATGTGCTAAGCATTTTGCATATATTACTTCATTTAATTATTTTAACAGCAACCTAATGGCAAATGTATGATCTTATTTTTTTCCCATTTTCAAATGAAGAAAACTGAGACTCACCAAAACTTTGGCTTGAATTCCTAAGATCCCATCATTTGTAAGTGGGAGAAGAAACTTTTCAGATGTAGAAAACTGAGACTCACCAAAACTTTGGCTTAAATTCCTAAGATCCCATCATTTGTAAGTGGCAATGTTAAAGTTCTAACTGAACAACTACGAAGCCAGTATTTTTGGTTAAAACACCTATCTAATACTATTTGATATATATATTCAGTTTAAGTTCCCAAAGATTAGTAATGTTCTAGAAATGTTTACACTGTTTTAAAATAAACATTCCAATGGAATGTTATTTATATATAAGAATTATAAGGTAAAATCCCAAGATCTAGAATCAGATCCAGGTGCAAATAATGATTCTGTATTAATTAGCTAGATGATTGTGCATCTCTGAGTCGTAATTTTGTTATCTACAAGCAGTACTACTAGGTGGAGCTGACACAATGTGTATTGAATGCCTATTAATTAAAATGGTGACTGTTATTACACTGTAGGTATTTATTAAACTTCCAGAGCGTTGGCATCTATTAAATAACAGCTATTATTAAAATGGATAATGTAGTCTTCATACTGAAATTCAGAACATTTTTACAAATAACATGCATTCACTTATATTCACCAATCATCATACTTACATATTGTCATTCAGAAAAAAAGGTGTTGGACTTTTAGATGACCTGTATTGCAGAATAATTATTTTTCAGCTTAAAATGTGTGATATCAAATTTCAGTGCCATCTCTTACCCAAAAATTAAAATATATTTTTACTTCTTAATTGTGACTCTTAAATATGAAGCCACAACTCAAGAGTAGGGTAGAGAAGCAGCTATGAAAAATGACAGTGATATGTGAGATGTAGGTGTGTTCATAGGTTGCTTGGGTGGAATGAAGATATAGTTAATTAAAACTGAGGAAGTTAAGGGACTTTGAAGCCAGAGTGTTATTAATATGGATCATGAAACAGTGGGAGGATGAGGTCAAGATGTAAGGAGGGAAAGACTGAAAGACTGTGACCCATGTACTAAAATCACAGAAGCAGATCTGTTGGCATTGGTAGACAAGCACAATAAAGATAAAGAAAATAGTTGAGTTTTTGAAGGTACTGAAAGAAGTTTGGAAGCAGCAATAGGAAGGAAGGCAAATGCTAATTCCCTAACCCAGATAAATATCTCAGGACAGTTTTTCTGCTCTTGGATTCTGGTTATGCTGGAGAGATCTCTATACCAAGACAACTAGTTCGATCAGAAACGCAACAGAAGCCAGCCACTCCCTGGCTGCTACTATCTAATGTTTTCATTTGTCTCTAAGTTGGCTGCATTTGCATAAACTTGTTTATTCCTTTAAGAACAGCCCAATCCACACTTACTATTCTGCAAATAATCTCACCTTCTACTTAAATGAGATCAAGACTGGTGGCAATGAGCTTTCTCAGTGTTTTTCTCAAAATTCCTCAGCTTTTTCATTTATCTTCTCCTCTCTTTTTCCCATCTCAGATGAAGTAACTTCAGGGCTCATTCATGGGTGACCTCATTCCATCACTTCCACATCCTCTGAGAACTTGTCCCAGTAATTACATACTCTGCCTCTTCCCTCACACATCTCTCTCTCTCTCTCAACTACATCCTTTACCTAAGACTGCAAACATGCTAACATGTTTGCTTATGTCCCACCACTCTCTAATCTGTGAGCTCCCTTTTACTGGTAGATTTCTAAACAAACAAACAAACAAAAACTATCATAACAAGAGCAGTTTCCTTGCTTTATCTTTCACCATTTTCTCTACTGATCTAGTGAATCTGTCAGTGGTATAGTAATGATTGGACTCCAATGAGTGGAGGAACACCAGGGTTCTTAGTCCTTGGGCTGGTTTGGATAAAATGACGGGGACACACGTAGAGTGGTTTTAAGGATTGGAGAGTTCAATAGGTAAGAAGGAAGGAAGAAGCACCTTCCTATAGAGACAGAGGGAGTGGGGCTCCAAAGCCGATAGAGGAAACCCCTAGTGCGGCAGGCAGCGGGGGGTGTGGTGGGGAACGTGGCATAAGGCTTAGGGGATTAGTTTGCTCAGGCATGTCACTCACATACCCCAGGAAAAAAATGGCCCTCCCACCCTCACCTTTTAATATGCAAATGAAGTGCTCCACATGCGGAAATGTGTGGGCGGCCATGTTGTCAGGCACATGTTGGAGCAAGGGCAAGGAGAAGAGAGCTGGAATCGCCATGTTTGGGTGGACCCAGTTTCTAATGGCCTGCCTTTGCATATCAAAGTTTGCCAGCCGTGAGAGCCTAGGCTTTACTGCTAGAGGAGAAACGTTTCTGGAGCTGCTTTAAAAGAAATGGAAATTTTCCATGGACCCCTTTTCCTCTCTATCTGCCTAAAATAATTTCTTAATAACACCCATAACAGTAATAAGCACCCAGACTTAAGATTTTTTTTCTTCCATCCTCATCTTCAGCTGCTCAGTAGCATTGTTTTCATTACAGTTCTCCTCCAGTGCTTTCTATGATGCTGCTCTCAAATTGCTCCTTCTAGGATAACTTTGTGGACTATGATTCGTCATCCTGCTTCTTAAACAGAAGTTTCCAAAATTTTGATCTTTGGTTTCCGTATCTCTCTGTTCTTTCCCCAAAAAGTATCCTACAGTAGCCTGGCTTTAGTTACCATTTGTAAGCTAATCTATATATTGACCATCACCTACATCACTAGCTTTCTCTCACTTCAAAACTGCTTTCTGGAAACTAAATCCTGCGTGTGCACACTTATAAGTTGGAGATAAACACTGAGTACACATGGACATAATGATGGCAACAAGAGACACTGGGGAATACAAAAGACAGGAGGGAAGGAGGGGACAAGGGTTGAAAAACTACCTATTGGGTACTATGCTCACCACCTGGGTGACAGATTCATTCATACTCCTAACCTCAACATCACACAATATGTCTTCATAACAAACCTGCACATGTACCTCCTGACTATAGAATAAAAGTTGAAAAAAAAAAATACTGAACCAAAACTACTTTCTGTCCACCTCCACCAAAATGCCCTGCAAGCACCACAAACTAAGCCCAAAATCTTTCTCAGATCACCTCATTTCAACTCTGGGCCACCTTGATTGCAATATCTTCCTTTTTCCTCATATACAAATAGATTTTAAATCCCATGGACTCAACCTCCATAAGATCTCAGACAATAACTACTCTGTTTCTGTCAACACCCTCTTCACTATCTTTCATCGGGTAGTGAACAATACCTTTTTTAAAAAAATTATTATTTTAAGTTCCAGGATACATGTGCAGGATGTGCAGGTTTGTTACATAGGTAAATGTGTACCAAGGTGGTTTGCTGCCCCTGTTAAACTATCACCTAGGTATTAAGCCCAGCATGCATTAGCTATTTATTCTGATGCTGTTGTTCCCACAGCCCCCACTGACAGGCCCCAGTGTGTGTTGTTCCCTTTCCTGTGTCCATGTGTTATCATTGTTCAGCTCTGTCAGGCCTCTGAGCCCAAGCCAAGCCATCGCATCCCCTGTGACTTGCACACATATGCCCAGATGGCCCGAAGTAACTGAAGAATCACAAAAGAAGTGAAAAGGCCCTGCCCCGCCTTAACTGATGACATTCCACCATTGTGATTTGTTCCTGCCCCACCTTAACTGAGTGATTAACCCTGTGAATTTCCTTCTCCTGGCTCAGAAGCTCCTCCACTGAGCACCTTGTGACCCCCGCCCCTGCCCACCAGAGAACAACCCCCTTTGACTGTAATTTTCCATTACCTTCCCAAATCCTATAAAACAGCCCCACCCCTATCTCCCTTCACTGACTCTCTTTTCGGACTCAGTCCGCCTACACCCAGGTGAAATAAACAGCCATGTTGCTCACACAAAGCCTGTTTGGTGGTCTCTTCACACGGATGCACATGAAATTTGGTGCCGTGACTTGGATCGGGGGACCTCCCTTGGGAGATCAATCCCCCATCCTCCTGCTCTTTGCTCCATGAGAAAGATCCACCTATGACCTCAGGTCCTCAGACCGACCAGCCCAAGGAACATCTCACCAATTTCAAATCCGGTAAGTGGCCTCTTTTTACTCTCTTCTCCAACTTCCCTCACTATCCCTCAACCTCTTTCTCCTTTCAATCTTGGCGCTACACTTCAATCTCTCCCTTCTCTTAATTTCAATTCCTTTCATTTTCTGGTAGAGACAAAAGAGACAAGTTTTATCCGTGGACCCAAAACTCCAGAGCCGGTCACGGACTGAGAAGGCAGGCTTCCCTTGGTTTTTAATCATTGCAGGGACACCTCTCTGATTATTCACCCACATTTCAAAGGTGTCAGACCACACAGGGATGCCTGCCTTGGTCCTTCACCCTTAGCAGCAAGTCCCGCTTTTCTGGGGGAGGGATAAGTACCCCAACCCCTTCTCTCCGTGTCTCTACCCCTTCTCTGCTTTTCTGGGGGAGGGGCAAGTACCCCTCAACCCCTTCTCCTTCACCCTTAGCGGCAAGTCCTACTTTTCTGGGGAAGGGGCAAGTAACCCAACCCTTTCTCTCCATGTCTCTACCCCTTCTCTGCTTTTCTGAGGGAGAGGCAAGTACCCCTCAACCCCTTCTCCTTCACCCTTAGCGGCAAGTCCTGCTTTTCTGGGGGAGGGGCAAGTACCCCAACCCTTTCTCTCTGTGTCTCTACCCCTTCTCTGATTTTCTGGGGCAAGGGCAAGAACCCCTCAACCCTTTCTCCTACCCCTCAGCGGCAAGTCCCACTTTTCTAGGGGAGAGGCAAGTATCCCAACCCCTTCTTTCCATGTCTCTACCCCTTCTTTGCTTTTCTGGAGGAGAGGCAAGTACCCCAACCTCGTATCTCTGTGCCCCAATCCCTTATTTCCATGCCCCGAACTCGTATCTCTGCACCCCGACCCCTTCTCTGCTTTTCTGGAGGGCAAGAAACCCCCACCCCTTCTCTGTGTCTCTACTCTTTTCTCTGGGCTTGCCTCCTTCACTATGGGCAAGCTTCCACCTTCCATTCCTCTTTCTCCCTTAGCATGTGTTCTTAAAAACTTAAAACCTCTTCAACTCTCACCTGACCTAAAATCTAAGTGTCTTATTTTCTTCTGCTATGCCGCTTGACCCCAATACAAACTTGACAGTAGTTCCAAATAGCCAGAAAACGGCGCTTTCAATTTTTCCATCCTACAAGATCTAAATAATTCTTGTCGTAAAATGGGCAAATGGTCTGAGGTGCCTGATGTCCAGGCATTCTTTTACACATCAGTCCCTTCCTAGTCTCTGTGCCCAGTGCAACTCGTCCCAAATCTTCCTTCTTTCCCTCCCACCTGTCCCCTCAGTCCCAACCCCAAGCATCGCTGAGTCTTTCTAATCTTCCTTTTCTACAGACCCATCTGACCTCTCCCCTCCTCACCAGGCCAAGCTAGGTCCCAATTCTTCCTCAGCCTCCGCTCCTCCACCCTATAATCTTTTTATTGCCTCCCCTCCTCACACCTGGTCCGGCTTACAGTTTCGTTCAGTGACTAGCCCTCCCCCACCTGCCCAGCAATTTACTCTTAAAAAGGTGACTGGAGCCAAAGGCATAGTCAAGGTTAATGCTCCTTTTTCTTTATCCCAAATCAGAAGCTTTTAGGCTCTTTTTCATCAAATATAAAAATCCAGCCCAGTTCATGGCTCGTTTGGCAGCAACCCTGAGAAGCTTTACAGCCCTAGACCCTAAAAGGTCAAAAGGCCGTCTTATTCTCAATATACATTACCCAATCTGCTCCCGACATTAAATAAAACTCCAAAAATTGGAATCTGGCCCTCAAACCCCACAACAGGACTTAATTAACCTCACCTTCAAGGTGTACAATAATTTAAAAAAGTTGCAATTCCTTGCCTCCACTGTGAGACAAACCCCAGCCACATCTCCAGCACACAAGAACTTCCAAACGCCTGAACCACAGCAGCCAGGCATTCCTCCAGAACCTCCTCCCCCAGGAGCTTGCTACAAGTGCCAGAAATCTGACCACCAGGCCAAGGAATGCCTGCAGCCCAGGATTCCTCCTAAGCTGTGTCCCATCTGTGCAGGACCCCACTGGAAATCAGACTGTTCGACTCACCTGGCAGCCACTCCCAGAGCCCCTGGAACTCTGGCCCAAGGCTCTCTGACTGACTCCTCGGCTTAGCAGCTGAAGACTGATGCTGCCTGATCACCTCAAAAGCCCTGTAGACCACCACAGACGCCGAGCTTCGAGTAACTCTCACAGTGGAAGGTAAGTCCGTCCCCTTAATCAATATGGAGGCTACCCACTCCACATTACCTTCTTTACAAGGGCCTGTTTCCCTTGCCTCTGTAACTGTTGTAGGTATTGACGGCCAGGCTTCTAAACCTCTTAAAACTCCCCAACTCTGGTGCCAACATAGACAATACTCTTTTAAGCACTCCTTTTTAGTTATCCCCACCTGCCCAGCTCCCTTATTAGGCTGAGACACTTTAACTAAATTATCTGCTTCCCTGACTATTCCTGGACTACAGCTATATCTCATTGCCGCCCTTCTTCCCAATCCAAAGCCTCCTTTGCGTCCTCCTCTTTATCCCCCCACCTTAACCCACAAGTATAAGATACCTCTACTCCCTCCTTAGCGACTGATCATGCACACCTTACCATCTCATTAAAACCTAATCACCCTTACCCCACTCAATGCCAATATCCCATCCCGCAGCACGCTTTAAAAAGATTAAAGCCTGTTATCACTCTCCTGCTACAGCATGGCCTTTTAAAGCCTCTAAACTCTCCTTACAATTCCCCCATTTTACCTGTCCTAAAACCAGACAAGCCTTACAAGTTAGTTTGGGATCTGCGCCTTATCAACCAAATTGTTTTGCCTATCCACCCCGTGGTGCCAAACCCATATACTCTCCTATCCTCAATACCTACCTCTACAACCCATTATTCTGTTCTAGATCTCAAACATGCTTTCTTTACTATTCCTTTGCACCCTTAATCCCAGCCTCTCTTCGCTTTCACTTGGACTGACCCTGACACCCATCAAGCTCAGCAAATTACCTAGGCTGTACTGCTGCAAAGCTTCACAGACAGCCCCCATTACTTCAATCAAGCCCAAATTTCTTCCTCATCTGTTACCTATCTCGGCATAATTCTCATAAAAACACAGGTGCTCTCCCTGCTGATCGTGTCTGATTAATCTCCCAAACCTCAATCCCTTACAAAACAACAACTCCTTTCCTTTCTAGGCATGGTTAGCGCGGTCAGAATTCTTACACAAGAGCCGGGACCGCGCCCTGTAGCCTTTCTGTCCAAACAACTTGACCTTACTGTTTTAGCCTAGCACTCATGTCTGCGTGCAGTGGCTGCCACTGCTTTAATACTTTTAGAGGCCCTAAGAATCACAAACTATGCTCAACTCACTCTCTACATTTCTCATAACTTCCAAAATCTATTTTCTTCCTCATACCTGACGCATATACTTTCTGCTCCCCGGCTTCTTCAACTGTACTCACTCTTTGTTAAGTCCCACAATTACCATTGTTCTTGGCCTGGACTTCAATCTGGCCTCCCACATTATTCCTGATACCACACCTGACCCCCATGACTGTATCTCTCTGATCCACCTGACATTCACCCCATTTCCCCATATTTCCTTCTTTCCTGTTCCTCACCCTGATCACGCTTGATTTCTTGATGGCAGTTCCACCAGGCCTAATCGCCACACACCAGCAAAGGCAGGCTATGCTATAGTACAAGCCACTAGCCCGCCTCTTAGAACCTCTTATTTCCTTTCCATTGTAGAAATCTATCCTCAAGGAAATAACTTCTCAGTGTTCCATCTGCTATTCTACTACTCCTCAAGAATTATTCAGGCCCCCTCCCTTCCCTACACATCAAGCTCGAGGATTTGCCCCTGCCCAGGACTGGCAAATTAGCTTTACTCAACATGCCCCGAGTCACAAAAACTAAAATACTTCTTAGTCTAAGTAGACACTTTCACTAGATAGGTAGAGGCCTTTCCTACAGGGTCTGAGAAGGCCACCGCAGTCATTTCTTCCCTTCTGTCAGACATAATTCCTCAGCTTAGCCTTCCCACCTCTATACAGTCTGATAACAGACCAGCCTTTATTAGTCAAATCAGCCAAGCAGTTTTTCAGGCTCTTAGTATTCAGTGAAACCTTTATATCCCTTATAGTCCTCTGTCTTCAAGAAAAGTAGAACGGACTAAAGGTCTTTTAAAAACACACCTCACCAAGCTCAGCCACCAACTTAAAAAGAACTGGACAATAGTTTTACCACTTTCCCTTCTCAGAAGTCAGATCTGTTCTCAGAAGTCAGATCTGTCCTCAGAATGCTACAAGGTACAGCCCATTTAAGTTCCTGTATAGATACTCCTTTTTATTAGGCCCCAGTCTCATTCCAGACACCGGACCAACTTAGACTGTGCCCCCAAAAAAACTTGTCATCCCTACTATTTTCTGTCTAGTCATACTCCTATTCTCCATTCTCAACTACTCATACATGCCCTGCTCTTGTTTACACTGCCAGTTTACACTGTTTCTCCAAGCCATCACAACTGATATCTCCTTGTGCTATCCCCAAACCACCACTCTTAACTCTTGAAGTAAATAAATAATCTTTGCTGGCAGGACTATGCTGAATCTCCTTAGGCACTCTCTAATCAGATGTCCTAGGTCCTCCCAATTCTTAGACCTTTTATACCTGTTTTTCTCCTTCTCTTATTCCATTTAGTTTTCAATTCATACAAAACCGTATCCAGGCCATCACCAATAATTCTAAATGACAAATGTTTCTTCTAACAACCCCACAATATCACCCCTTTCCACAAAATCTTCCTTCAGCTTAATCTCTCCCACTCTAGGTTCCCATGCTGCCCCAATCCCGCTTGAAGCAGCCCTGAGAAACATTGTCCATTCTCTCTCCATACCACCCCCCAAAAATTTTCACCACCCCAAGACTTCAACACTATTTTATTTTTCTAATTAATATAAGAAGGCAGGAATGTCAGGCCTCTGAGCCCAAGCCAAGCCATCGCATCCCCTGTGACTTGCACATATACGCCCAGATGGCCTGAAGTAACTGAAGAATCACAAAAGAAGTGAAAAGGCCCTGCCCCGCCTTAACTGATGACATTCCACCATTGTGATTTGTTTCTGCCCCACCTTAACTGAGTGATTAACCCTGTGAATTTCCTTCTCCTGGCTCAGAAGCTCCCCCACTGAGCACCTTGTGACCCCCGCCCCTGCCCACCAGAGAACAACACCCTTTGACTGTAATTTTCCATTACCTTCCCAAATCCTATAAAATGGCCCCACCCCTATCTCCCTTCACTGACTCTCTTTTCGGACTCAGCCCGCCTGCACCCAGGTGAAATAAACAGCCATGTTGCTCACACAAAGCCTGTTTGGTGGTCTCTTCACACGGACGTGCATGAAAAGCTCCAACTTATAAGGGAGAACACATGGTGTTTGGTTTTCTGTTCCTGCATTAGTTTACTGAGAATAATGGCTTCCAGCTCTATCCATGTCCTTGCAAAGGACATGATCTCATTCCTTTTCATGGTTGCATAGTAACCCATGGTATATATGTACCAGATTTTCTTTATCCAGGCTATCACTGATGGGCATTTAGGTTGATTTCATATCTTTGCTATTGTGAGTAGTGCTGCAATGAACATACATGTCCATGTATCTTTATAATAGTATAATTTATATTCCTTTGGGTATATACCAAGTAATAGGATTGCTGGATCAAATGGTATTTCTGGTTCTAGGTCTTTGAGGAATTGCCACACCATCTTCCACAAAGGTTGAACTAATTTACATTCCCATCAACTGTGTAAAAGTGTTTCTATTTCTCCATAGCCACCAGCAGCTGTTGTTCCTTGACTTTTTAATTGCCATTCTGACTGGCTTGAGATGGTACCTCATTATAGTTTTGATTTGCATTTCTCTAATGATCAGTGATGTTGAGCTACTTTTCATGTGTTTGTTGGCCACATAAATTTCTTCTTTTGAGAAGTGTCTGTTTATGTCCTTTGTCCACTTTTTAATTGATTGTTTTTTTTCTTGTAAATTTGTTTAAGTTCTCTGTAGATTCGGGATATTAGACCTTTGTCAGATGGATAGATTGCAAACATTTTCTCCCACTCTATAGGTTGTTTGTTTGCTCTGATGATAGTTTCTTTTGCTGTACATAAGCTCTTTAGTTTAATTAGATCCCATTTGTCAAGGTTTGCTTTTATTGCAATTGCTTTTGACATTTTCATTGTGAAATCTTTGCCCATGTCTATGTCCTGAATGGTATTGCCTAGATTTTCTTCTGGGGTTTTTATAGTTTGCAGTTTTACATTTAAGTCTTTAATCCATCTTGAGTTAATTTTCATATAAGGTTTAAGGAAGGGATCCAGTTTCAATTTTCTGCATATGGCTAGCCAGTTTTTCCAGCACCATTTGTTAAATAGGGAATCCTTTCCCCATTGCTTATTTTTGTCAGATTTGTCAAAGATCAGATAGTTGTAGATGTGTGGTCTTATTTCTGAGTTCTCTATTCTGTCCCATTGTTCTATGTGTCTGTTTGTGCACCAGTACCATACCATTTTGATTACTGTAGCCTTATAGTATAGTTTGAAGTCTAGTAGCATGATGCCTCCAGCTTTGTTCTTTTTTCATAGGGTTGTCTTGGCTATACGGGCTCTTTTTTGGTTCCATATAAATTTTAAAATAGTTTTTCCTAATTCTGTGAAGAATGCCAATGGTAGTTTGATGGGAATAGCATTGAATCTATAAATTACTTTGGGAAGTATGGCCATTGACATGATATTGATTCTTCCTATCAATGAGCATGGAATGTTTTTCCATGTGTTTGCTTCCTCCCTGATTTCCTTGAGCAGTGGTTTGTAGTTCTCCCTGAAGAGTCTTTCACTTCCCTTGTTATCTGTATTTCTAGGTATTTTATTCTCTTTGTAGCAGTTGTGAATGGGAGTTCATTCATGATTTGACACTTGGCTTGTCTGTTGTTGGTGTATAGGAATGCTTGTGATTTTTGCACATTGACTTTGTACCCTCAGACTTTGCCGAAGTTGCTTATCAGCTTTATTTTTTTTGCTAAGATGATAGGGTTTTCTAGATATAGGTTCATTTCATCTGCAAACAGAGACAGTTTGACTTCCTCTCTTCCTATTTGAATACACTTTATTTCTCTCTCTTCCCTAATTTCTCTGGTCAGAACTTCCAATACTATGCTGAATAGGAGTGGTGTGAGAGGGCATTCTTATCTTGTGCCAGTTTCCAAGAGGAATGCTTCTGGCCTTTGCTCATTTAGTATGATATTGGCTGTGAGACTGTCATAAATGGCTCTTATTATTGTGAGGTATGTTCCATCAATACCTAGTTTATTGAGAGTTTTTAACATGAAGGGATGTTGAATTTTATCAAAGGCTTTTTCTGCATCTATTGAGATAACCATGTGGTTTTTGTCTTTAGTTCTGTTTATGTGATGAATTACATTTATTGATTTGCATATGTTGAACAAGCCTTGCATCCCAGGGATGAAGCCAACTTAATTGTGGTGGATAAGCTTTTAGGTATGCAGCTGGATTTAGTTTTCCAGCATTTTATTGAGGATTTTTGCATTGATGTTCATCAGGGATATTGGCCTGAAGATTTCTTTTTTTGCTGTATCTCTGATAGGTTTTGGTATCAGGATGATGCTGGCCTCATAAATTAGGGAGGAGTTCCTCTTTTTCAATTGTTTGGAATAGTTTCAGAAGAAATAGTACCAGCTCTTCTTTGTACCTCTGGTAAAATTCAGCAGCAAAACCATCTGGTCCATGGCTTTTTTCGGTTAGTAGGCTATTTATTCTTGCTTCAATTTCAGAACTTGTAATTGGTCTGTTCGGGGATTAAACTTCTTTCTTGCTCAGTCTTGGGACACTGTATGTGTCCAGAAATTTATCTATTTCTGCTATATTTTCTAGTTTATTTGGATAGAGCTGTTTATAGCATTCTCTGATAATTGTATTTTTGTGGGGTCATTGGTGATATCCCCTTTATCATCAAGGGATGATAGCCCCTTTTTGTTGTGTCTATTTGATTCTTCTCTCCTTTTTTCTTTATTAGTCTACCTAACAGTCGATTTTATTAATTTTTTTCAGAAAATCAGCTCCTGGATTCATTGATTTTTTAAACTGTTTTTGTGTCTCTGTCTCCTTCAGTTCTGCTCTGATCTTGGTTATTTCTTGTCTTCTGCTAACTTTGGGGTTTGTTTGCTTTTGATTCTCTAGTTCTTTTAGTTGTGATATTAGAATGTCAGTTTGAGATATTTCTAGTGTTTTGATGTGGATATTTAGTGCTATAAATTTCCCTCTTAACACTGCTCTAGCAGCGTCGCAAAGATTCTAGTACATTGTCTCTTTGTTCTCATTGGTTTCAAAACACTTCTTTTTATCTGCCCTAATTTCAGTATTTACTGGAGTCATTCAGGAGCAGGTTGTTCAATTTCCATGTAGTTGTGTTGTTTTAAGTAAGTTTCCTAATCGAGAGTTCTAATTTGATTGCTCTTAGGTCTGAGAGACTCTTTGTTATGATTTAGTTTTTTTGCATTTGCTGATGGGTGTTTTACTTCCAATCATATGATTGATTTTAAAGTGCCATGTGGCACCAAGAGGAATGTATATACTGTTGTTTTGGGGTGTAAAGTTCTATAGATATCTATCAGATCCAATTGATCCAGAGCTGAGTTCAAGTCCTGAATATCCTTATTAATTTTGTCTAGATGATCTAATATTGAAAGTAGGGTGTTAAAGTCTCCCATTATTATATGGGAGTCCAAGTCTCTTTTTAAGTCTCTAAGAACTTGTTTTATGAATCTGGGTGATCCTGTATTGTGTGCATATATTTAGGATGCTTAGCTCTTCTTATTGAATTGATCCCTTTACCATTATGTAATGCCCTTCTTTGTCTTTTTTGATCTTTCTTAAAGTCTGTTTTGTCAGAAACTAAGATTACAACCTCTGCTTTTTTTCTGCTTTCCATTTGCTTGGTAGATTTTTCTTCATCCCTTTATTTTGAGCCTATGTGTGTCTTTGCTTATGATATGGGTCTCCTGAATAGAGCACACCAATGGGTCTTGACTCTTTATCCAGCTTTCCATTCTGTGTCTTCTAATTGGGGCATTTAGCTCATTTACATTTAAGATTAATATTGTTATGTGTGAATTTGATCCTATCATCATGATGCTAGCTGGTTATTTTGCAGACTTGTTGATGTGGTTGCTTCATAGCATCATTGGCCATTGTACTTCAGTGTGGTTTTGTAGTGGCTGGTAACAATTTTTCCTTTCCATATTTAGTGCTTCTTTCAGGAGCTCTTGCAATGCAGGGCTGGTGGTAATGAATTCCCTCAGCATTTGCTTGTCTGAAAAGAATTTTATTTCTCTTTCACTTATGAAGCTTAGTTTGGCCAGATATGAAATTCTAGGTTGGAAATTCTTTTCTTTAAGAATGCTGAATATTGGTCCCCAATCTCTTCTAGCTTGTAGAGTTTCTGTTAGGAGGTCTGCTGTTAGTCTGATGGGCTTCACTTTGTAGGTGACCAAGCTGCTAGGCTGGGGAAGTTCTCCTGGATGATATCCTGAAGTATGTTTTCTAACTTGGTTCCATTCTCTCCGTCTCTTTCAGGTACCCCAGTCAGTCATAGGTTCAGTCTTTTTACATAATCCCATAGTTCTCAGTGGTTTTGTTCATTCCTTTTCATTCTTTTTTCTCTAATCTTGTCTGCCTGTCTTGTTTCAGATATGTAGTCTTTGAGCTCCAAAATTCTTTCCTCTGCTTGGTCTATTTGGCTATTGATACTTGTAGTTGCATTGTGAAGTTCTTGTGTTGTGTTTTTCAGCTCCTTCAGGTCATTTATGTTCCTCTCTAAACTGGTTATTCTGATTAACAGCTCCTGTAATATTTTATCATGGTTCTTAGCTTCTTTGCATTGCGTTAGAACATGCTCCTTTATCTCAGTGCGGTTCGTTATTACCCAACTTCTGAAGTTTACTTCTCTCAGTTCATCCAGCTCAGCCTCAGCCCATTTCTGTGCCCTTGCTGGAGCAGTGTTGTGATCATTTGGAGGAGAAGAGGCACTTGGGCTTTTTGAATTTTCAGCATTTTTTGTTGATTTTTTTCTCATCTTCATGAGTTTCTCTAGCTTCAATCTTTGAGGTTGCTAACCCTTGGATGGGGATTTTGTGAGAAAATTTTTGTTCATGTTGTTGTTGTTGTTGTTGTTGCTTTCTGTGTGTTTGTTTTTCTTTTAATAGTCAGGACCCTCTTCCCTAGGGCTGCTGCTGTTTGCTGGGGGTCCACTCCAAAACCTATTCGCCTGGGTCCCTCTCGCATCTGGTGGTGTCACCAGTGGGAGCTGCAGAACAGCAAAGATGGCTGCCTGCTTCTTCCTCTGGGAGTTCTGTCCCGGAGGGGCACCGACCTGATGCCAACGGAAACACTCCTGCATAAGGTGTCTGGTGACCCCTATTTGGGGGTCTCACCCAGTCAGAAGGCACAGGATCAGACACCTGCTTAACAAAGCACTCTGGCTGCCACTTGGTGGCACCAGGAAATCCCACTCGTCAGGGACTGCCTTGATTCCTCAAAGCCAGCAGGGGGAAAGACTAAATTCTCTGATCTGTGGAGATCACGTCCGCCCCTCCCTCTAGGGGCTCCATCTCAAGGAGATCACAGTTCTGTCCCTAAGCCCCTGGCTAGAGTTGCTGAAATTCCCACAGGGAGGCCTGGTCTGGGTCCAGCCTAAAGAGTCAGTCTGGCCACAATCTGCCACAGCCACTGTGCTGCTCTGTGGGGAATCCTTCCTGACTCCACACCATCCAGTTTCCCCAGCACCACCAGGGGAAAACAGCAGGCTGGAGTTACAGTGATGGCTGCCGCCCCTCGTTCCAGGAGCTCAGTCGTCTTAAGCAGCAGGCAGCTGAAGTGATGGTGGCTGCCTCTCTCTTGGGAAGCCCAGTTGTCTTAAGTAGCTGGCATCTGTAGTGATGGCAGCTGCCCACCCCCGCCCCCGCCCTCCGCCAGGAACTCAGTAACTCAGTAGTCTTAGGCAATCTCCAGCCCAGCGGCCATGGAGAATTTGCACAGCTCTGTTCTTGGGCCCCAAGGCACTGGTGGCGTGGGCTCACCAGGGGATCTCCTGATCCACAGGTTGCACAGATCTGTGGCAAAAGCATGGTTTCCCAGGTGGGGTAGCACACTTACCACCTCTCTTGACTGGAGGTGGGACCTCCCCTTGCCCCTTGCCCCGTGCATCTCCCAGGTGCGCTGTCACTCCACCCTGCTTTTCCTCCTTCTCCATGGGTCGTGCCAATCACCTAGTCAGTCCCAGTGAGAGAATCTGGAGACCTCAGTTTCTGGTGCAGGATTCACTCACAGTTTTCATTCTTCTCAGCGGGAGCCTCCAACTGCAGCTTTTTCTAGTCAGCCATCTTGGCCCCTCCAACAATACCTTTTATACAGTACTTCTTTAAAGCATATCATTTGATATCTGAATATGGCAAGCAAATTTTTAAAGCTGGAGTTTCTTCATTTCAGCATCCACTTTGAACTCCTTTCCAGTCTCACATGCTGGCCTCACATAAACAGCAAGCTTGCATAAACATGGCAAGGAGAGAACATTATGAAATTCCTGGAAACTTTTTATTCTTCATCAGTTTGTCAACATTCAGAGACTCTCTTAGATTTTGTGTTACCTTGTGGCTTGCCAGTCTCTCATCTGGGTCTTCCCCTTCTAAACATTTTTCTTTGTTGCTTCTCCAGTCCCTCCTTAAAACTTATTTTTTTCATCATGGTGGTGTGGGAGGAATTTGGGATTTGGAGTCAGAATACACTAATAGCAAATCCCACCTCTGCAACTTACTCAGCCTAAGACTTGAGAGAAATGTAATATTACTGTTTGGTGTTGTTCTAGCTTTAGTTTAGTTTAGTTTTGCTTTGCTTTGTTTCTAGCCATGTGTAAAGGGATGATAACACCTACCTGAGCATGATTGCTAAGGATTAAATGAAATAATATATACAAGGCACATGCCACCCAATGTGAACACTAAAGAAACAGTAGCTGCTTCCAAGTTGATATCAAATTATATTAATGACTAGTACTATTTAAAGGCATCTGTATAGGACTAACATGGTCCTGCAGACAATATCTAGGTGAAGGTAAATACTTGGTGAACACAGCTGGCAGGTAAGAAGATTCTTCCTACCACCCTTTAAAACAACTCCTACTTTGCTTCATTTTATATGTCACATCATATAACAATATGGAAAACTATCATTATGTTCTAATTTGTTTATCAAAATGCTTTAGTGTGTCATTTTTTCTAACCAGATTAAATGAAGAGTGGGAGCAACTTTGAAAGAATGGCCATGCCATTGAGGTTGACTGAAAGCTGGAGGGCATGGCCATTGGGTGAGAGGTGGCAGTGCTGTGGACAGATAGTAGGGGAAAACTGAGAGGCACAGAGGATGGGCTGGCAGCTCCAGTACCCCTTAGCCAAGATTCAGGGAGATGTGGGGGTGTTAAGAGGAGGGTAAACCCAGGTGGACAGTCTTTCCTAACTAGCACTAATTAGTCAGTCTTGGCTGAAAAACCTCAGTTGTACATGAAAGAACACCACAGATCTTATAGTGTTGTTTGTTCAAAGATTTTGGATTAGGTTTGGCCATTCTGGAACTCCACAGGCACTATATATGCCACTTCATCTCAAAATTTATAAGATATGAGCACATGATTCATAACCTAGGAGTTTATAGC